>NC_000010.11:5919090-6070606 GCF_000001405.40 Homo sapiens
GAAGAGATTTGCAAAAATGGAACATGGTGCCACTCTTCTTGCTGCATTTTTTTTTGTTCTCGGAAATATGTTTCAAAAAATATGTTCTTTATGTCATCATATAAGAGGCTTTTGGCTGGGCATGGTGGCTCATGCCTGTAATCCCAGCATTTTGGGAGGCCAAGAAGGACAGATCACTTGAGGTCAGGAGTTCAAGACCAGCCTGGCCAACATGGTAAAACCCTGTCTCTATTAAAAATACAAAAATTAGCCAGGTGTGGTGGCTCCCGCCTGTAGTGTCAGCTACTCAGGAGGCTGAGGCAGGAGAATCACTTGAACCCAGGAGGCAGAGGTTGCAGTGAGCCGAGGTCGCACCATTGTACTCCAGCCTGGGTGACAGAATGAGACTCTGTCTTAAAAAAAAATAGTTTTTAATAGTTATTTTTAAATGAATTAAAATTTATAATATGGTAAATATAGATAGATAGAGCTCATGTAAATAAAAGCTCTTTGGAGGCTTTTTAAGTGTGATTTTTAAGTGTGAAGCATCCTGAGACCAGCAGTTCGAGAACCACTGCTTTTAAGAAACTTATTTCTGATTAGAAGAGATGTCTCACTTGGATGAAAGTATCAACTGTGCTGTGTTTTGTGATGTTATTGAAAGTTCCGTAGACGCCTCTGTGACTCTTCCCTTGAGCTCCTACTGCTGTGGTGATTTAGGGTAGCGTCACTGCAGAGGTGATTTGTTCTTTTAATAGATGGTATTTTTTTAGAACAGTTTCAGATTTACAGAAAAATCGAGAGGAGAGTTCCCATATATCCTGTACTCAGTTTCCCATTACTAACATCTTATCGTCTTATATTAATGTGGAACACTTGTCACGATAATGAACCAACATTGATACATTATTATGGACTGAAGTCCATGGTTCATTTGCATTTCCTTAGTTTTGAAATAATGTCTTTTGTGACTTCAGGAGCCCATCCAGGATCCCACATTACATGTAACCATGTGTCATGAGGCTCTTCTTGGCTGTGACAGTTGCTCAGACTTTCCCTATTTCTGATGTGACCTTCACATTTTCCAGAAGTTCCAGTCAGGCATTTGTAGGCTGCCCCTGTGCTGGGATTTGTCTAATGTCTTTTCTCATGGTTAGGCTAGAGTCCTGGGTTCTGGGAGGAAGACCACAGAGGTGAAGCGCCATTTTCATCACATGGTGTTGAGGTGCATACTGTCACCATGGCTCATGACTTGATGTTGACCTTGACCACCTGGCTGATGTAGTGTTTGTCAGGTTTCTTCACTGTAGAGTTCCACTTTTTTTCATCCTTTCCTTACTGGATGCTTTGGAAGGAAGTCCCTATATGCAGTCCACACTCAAGGAGTAAGTGTTGGAGAATCTTCCCAAATTATTTGGAATTCTTCTGTAAAGGAGATTTGTTTTTTCTCTCCCATCTATTTAAATATTCAATCATTTATCTATCTTAATATGAACTCATGGATATTTATGTTATAATTTCGGTTATGGTTCACTCAGAGTAGTTTTATAGCAACAAAGTAGTGTTTGTTTAAAGTCTAGTTTTCGTTTGACTGTTACTGCTATTCACCAAAGCACATGAAGTTGTGTGTGCATGGAAAAAGGCTGTACACACCCCGAGTGTAGGGAAGAATGATATCTTGCCAGCTGGAGGGGCGAAGGAAGCAGGGTCTTGGGCTGAGTTTTGAAGGTTAGGAAGTGACTTTGGTGGATGAAAGTCAGACAGAAAACCGCGTGGGCTGAGGCAGGGCAGCACGGACAATGTGCAGGTGCTAGTGCTTCTGCCATGGCTGGTTGGTGCAGGGCAGTAGTTTTAAAGGTAGTGTGGAGAGGGATCTCAAAGGCAAGGGGAGAAGCCCTCCTTACCCGATCTTCATCTTTTGTATGATTTAGACTTCACTAGATTTGATTTGGAGAAAAGGGTAGATTTGCTTAAAAGAAAAATTTACTATTGGTGTTGAGAATAATGGAAAATAAAGACTGCTGAGTTGTGAAGGACCTTGAAAGTGAGCCTGTGAAGTTCGCTTTCCATGCGGGGGGTCAGGAACAACTTGTAGGGTCTGGCCCGGCCAGGCTGTGGCAGCAGTGATGGAAATGCACGGACACACCACAGGGCGGGCTGCTGACTCCCTCTGTCTTGTTGTTTTCAGAGTTTTCGGTTTGGTGTGGAAATAGCTTATGTGGGAGCTACTATCTTGGATGTTTGCAAGAGAGTCAGGAAAAAGACTTTGGTTGGAGGAAACCATCAGAGTAAGGCTTTTAGTTACTCTTCTCTTTTGTGTTACAAAAGTTTTCCTCTTTATTTCAATTTGCCATAGAGTTTGTGCTCTCTCCCTAAAGGTGGCATTAGAGGTGACGCAAAGGGGCAAGTGGCCTTGTTGTCCCGGACCAACGCCAACGTGTTTGATGAGGCCGTACGGGTGACGGAAGGGGAATTCCCTTCAAGGATACATTTGATTGGGGTAAGAGTACATTTCTGTTGACCACTTCATGCACAGAAACGTTGTAGACGAACATACCCAATGGAAATGTTCACCTTCCTTGGGATTATCATGCAAGAAAGCATTTGGGTTTTTGACTCTTTCCACCAGGCTGCACCATGAGTGGTCTCTATCCCAGGCCATTCTGATTATGCCAGCGAAACATTCCTGGAAAGGCAGACACAAGAAGGGCTGGGGACCTTAGTTTCCACTCTTTTAACAATGAATGCCCTTCTTCCCTTGGCAATGCCAGTGAGGCCGCGGGTTACTGGAAGCTTTTCTAGTCATGTGTTGTCATTAGTGTGAGAACAGCTGAGCTGACAACACGCAGAGTACACACCTAGGCTCTAGTTCTGACTGGTCACTAACCGTGTGTGGCTTGGGGCAAGTCACAACTTCTGTATGCCTCATTCTCTCCATCTCAGATAAAATAATGCCTTGCCTTACCTGTTTCACAGGGAGTTAGAAGGATTCAGTGGCATGTTTACAGCATTTTTAACCCTGAAGCACAGTTATATGATAAAAAGATATTCACTCATTCATTTATGGAAAGATTTTCAAGAGCCTACTATGCATTAGGCACTCAGTGAATATAGTAGTGAATCATAATCAAAAGGTGTTTTAAGTTTTTTGTTTATAAAGACTATATAACAATGGTATAGAAATTTTGGAACCTAAAAAAAGAACACATAATCCCAGTATTTCATATAATAATTCTCATTTTTGCTATTTTTGTCTTTGTCCTTATAGATGTGTATTTTTGCATAATTGCAATTGTAGGGTACACAGAAATGGATGCTGTTTTTCACTCAACACATAGGCATATTTTCTTTCATTAGTACTTTGATGACCTTATAATATTTGGTCTGGTAGATATAACATAATTTAGCCATGGTCATTGTTGTAAGAGTAGTATTTTTGGAATATCATACACACTGGCATGATATAAAGTAAGTGGTTCTCTACACCTCTCTTAAATCCACTTACTAGCTGTACCATGTGTCATTACACGTGATCACACACCTGGTTGTGGGTTATAATGTCAACTGTGTTATTTTGCCCGCTGTTTTATGTGAGTGTTTTATGTGTCCCTCCCTAAAAGATGACAAGCTCTTGGAGTGTGGGGCCCTGGTTGTGTCTGTCTTCTATGTGGGGCCTGGTGCTGTGTGAGTGCCGGAGCCCAGCCAGTGCTCAGCAGATGCTTTTGGAAGATCTGAGCTAAACAGGGCACAGTCAGGCTGTCTCCTCCAGGAGCTGACCTGTTAAAATGTAGAATAATCTGGACCTAGAGACGTTCTGTAATTTCTTTTTTTTGAGACAGAGTCTTGCTTTGTCACCCAGGCTGGAGTGCAATGGTGTGATCTCGGTTTGCTGTAACCTCTGCCTCCCAGTTTGAGAGATTCTCGTGCCTCGGCCTCCTGACTAGCTGGGACCATAGGCGCCTGCCACCACACCCGGCTAATTTTTGTATTTTTGGTAGAGACGGGGTTTCACCATGTTGGCCAGGCTGGTCTTGAACTCCTGGCCTCAAGTGATCCACCTGCCTCAGCCTCCCAAAGTGCTGGGATTACAGGCATGAGCCACTGCGCCTGGCCTGTAGTTCTTTTCTCACAAGAAACAGTGGTAAATGTGCATACCCAGCACTTTGTATTCAGGTGCCATTTGTGTTCTTTGGAATCGTCTTATGTTCTTGGAAGATGCTTAAATTGCCTTTTTATTGATGGGAAAGCAGTATGCAGCTGTAGGTCTTGCCCTTTTTAAAAGCGTAGGAAGAGTTTGAGGTAGCAGCTGTAACTTAGAATGTGGTCCCTGTGAGTGTTCAGGCCACGTGGCAGCCTTGCGCTTTCTGCTTCATGAAGTTTCCTGCTTGCCGCCTGTGCTTTGGGTGTCACTCAAGATCCATTTCCAAGAAACCATCTCATTTCAAAACCCCATCCCTGCATTTGCTTTATTTTGTTTTGTTAAAGCAACAACAAACAAAACAAAACAAAAAACAACAAAAAAACAAAAATCCCACCAAAAAACTTTTTCAGGGGATTAAATCATTTGGATTGGACAGAATCATTGATATTTGGATCCTTCTTCAGCCAGAGGAAGAACGGAGGAAACGTGAGTACCCACCTGGCCTTGGTGCATTGGAAGGACGCACCCAAGTGACAGGGACGAGAAAGAAGCAGGCCCAGTCTGAGTCAGGGACCCGTTTCCCTCCAGAGAAGGGCGAGCTAGTGTTGCTGTCTTCCCATGACGAGGGGGGTGCCTCGGGCCTCCTGTTTTCATAGGTACTGACAGATTTTTCCAGATCCTCCTCACAGGAGCCTCAGTCTCTTTCCAACACTGGTCCCATAGACTGTCTTCCCCTGCATCCTTCTGTCTGCCTGGGCCAATTTATACGTTGATACTTCCACGTGGGCCCCAAGTGATAGCGTCGAGCATTTCTATAGCGCTTTTCTTTTCCTGTTGACTGCACTATTTCAAATCCCTGTGAAGTAGGTGAGGATCTTGAGCCGAGGGCTTTGCTCCTCAGTCGGAGACGGAGAGGCTACTGCACTGCACTGACTTGCCCAGGGACACACAGCGAGTTAGTGATGCAGTCAGGCCTGGAACCCGGGTCTCCCCACTTTAAGACCATCTGCTCTTGCGCAGCTGCTTAGGAACGTGCAGCACCTGCCACCATCTGTTAGTGGAGCTTGTGTCACCTTAATTTGTGTGTATATTCTTCTTAGAAAACCTCGTCATTAAAGACAAATTTATCAGAAGATGGGTGCACAAAGAAGGCTTTAGTGGCTTCAAGAGGTATGTGACCGCTGCCGAGGACAAGGAGCTTGAAGCCAAGATCGCAGTTGTTGAAAAGTATAACATCAGGATTCCAGAGCTGGTGCAAAGGATAGAAAAATGCCATATAGAAGATTTGGACTTTGCAGGTAAGGGAAGCAGTTGGTTTTTACCTTCCCCCTAAGAGGAGGAACAGATGGTCTTCTGCTGTTCTTTTTTTTTTTTTGAGACAGAGTATTGCTCTGTTGCCCAGGCTGGAGTGCAGTGGCGTGATCTTGGCTCACTGCAATGCCCACCTTCTGGGTTCAAGCAATTATCCTGCCTCAGCCTCGTGAGTAGCTGGGACTACAGGCCCCACCACCAGCCCGGCTAGTTTGTGTATTTTTTGTAGAGATGGAGTCTCACCATGTTGGCCAGGCTGGTCTCGAACTCCCAACCTCAGGTAATCTGCCCACCTCGACCTCCCAAAGTGCTAGAATTACAGGCGTGAGCCACTGCGCCCAGCCTCTTCTGCTGTTTCTTCCCTGTGTGGAATATCTTTGAGCAAGGATGGCTTTATTGCTTAAGGGAAAGGGGAGCAGAGTCCTGGTTCTTCCTCAGGGGCTCTTTATTCTGTTCTACTTTCAAGCCCGTACAATGGGATTTTCTAGTCCCAGCTCTGCCACGTGTAATGTCAGGCAAGCTGTGCAGCCCTCTTCTGGGCTCTGTCCCTTCATGTGTTAGATCCAGACGGTGGGTGGAGCCACTCTGTCCTCTGGGATGTGATTCCGAGAGGCGTTAACTCTCCTGCAACTAATTTTCGACTTTTCCCCTCGTCTTTTTCTTTTTTCTGTTCCCGACAGTTGTCTGTTCCCGACAGTTGTTTCCTCTTTCCCCCTTTTCCTACAAAACTGCACTGAGGCAAGAAATGTTCGAGTTCAGAGTCAAGTGGGAAACATGTATGTTTTTGTCATCTTGTTTCTTTCCCTTTGAAGCACCATCTAACGTGTGCTGTGTTTTTATCCTAGAGTACATTCTGGGCACTGTGCACAAAGCCAAAGGCCTGGAGTTTGACACTGTGCATGTTTTGGATGATTTTGTGAAAGTGCCTTGTGCCCGGCATAACCTGCCCCAGCTTCCGCACTTCAGAGTTGGTAAGAGGCCGCCGGGTAGTGTCAGGTGCTGCTGTATGTAGTGAGTGGTGACTGGAATGCTTCCTTTGCACGGCCTTGTTGTTTGTTGGATGGTGTGGCCTCCTGGTAGGGCACTTCTGGAAAAACTAAACCACAAAACACCTCCTAGTCCTAAACTTTTGATTCTTATACTGTGGTTTTTTAAAAAACAAAACTTCCTCAAGGTGCACCCCTCTGGGGGCTGCGTGTGGGATGATGATGTTTGTGGCGGCCCTGTGAGCCCTGCACTGCCCTCAGCTCCAGGTTCTTCGCCATCAGACTTTGAGTCTCCAGCCTCATGAAAGCTTTAAAATATAGTTTACTTGCTTACCATGGCATTTTTTTCCTTTCATTAATTCCTCTTCATTTTATTAAAGAGAGAAGAAAACCACAAAAGGAGAAATAGTAAGCATTCTTTATCATTTGTCTGGTGTTTTTTGGTACAGACAGGGGTCTCACTATGTTGCTCAGGCTGGTCTCAAAGTCTTAGGCTCAAGCGATCCTCCCACTTCAGCTTCCCAAAGTGTTGGGATTGCAGGCGTCAGCCACCACAGACATTTGTCTGCTTTCTTGTTGTTGTTGTTATTATTATTCTTATTCTTATTCTTCTTATTATTATTATTATTTTGAGATGGAGTCTCACTCTGTCACCCAGGCTGGAGTGCAGTGGCACGATCTCGGCTCACTGCAATCTCCACCTCCCGGGTTCAAGTGATTCTCCTGCCTCAGAGTAGCTGGGACTACAGGCACGTGCCACCACGCCCAGCTAATTTTTGTATTTTTAGTAGAGACGGGGTTTCGCCATGTTGGCCAGTCTGGTCTCGAACTCCTGACTTCAGGTGATCTACCTGCCTTGGCCTCCCAAAGTGCTGGGATAATAGGTGTTAGCCACCATGCCTGGCCTTGTCTGCTTTGAAATAAATTTGTACTCAAGGCTACTTTGTAATAAATTTGTACTTTTAGCATCAGTGCTATTGCTTTGGTTTTAAATCTTAGAATAAAACTGTTTGAAATTTCTGTACAAACAAACAAAGCTGTCTGTTAACTGTGGACTGGAAATTTGGGGCCTAGCACACATCGGCATGCTGAAAATGGAAACCACAGTATTTGTGACCATTGGCAAACATAGACCATGGTTTGGAGTGGAGAGAGGAAGGGAGGCAGCCATGGAGAAGTTTACTATAGTACCACCTTTTCCCTGCTTCTGGTTTACATGTTTACAAATGTAATTTTTTTGGGGGACATGTAATTTACATGCCACACAACCCACCCATCCAAAGTGTACAATTCAGCAGCTTTTTGCACGGCCTCGGGTCTGCTGTTCTTTGTTGAGTTCCTGCCATTGTGTAGTGAATCGAGATGGGAGATGAGAGGTGCGGTTGAACAGCACAGACACACAGCACATAGCACACCTGTGTGTCTTCCTTGTTGTCCTGTGACAGTGTCAGGCTTTTCCAGATGGGACTCTGGCAGTCCAGAGACAGTGTAAGGAAATGGAAAGAGACGAGCAGACTCGGTCCTGCTCCCAGGCCCTTGATTAGCCATGGGCTTGTTTGTGGGAGTGACTTAACCTGTCTAAGCCTCGGTTTCCCCGTCTGTCTCACGGGCTTGTTGTGGGAACTGGCATAATGACTGTAAACAGCCATCTGTCACATCGCGGGTGTCAAATAACCAATTAACACATTCCCAGGATTTACGTAGCAGGACTAAATAAAACCCGGTATTTTGTGCCACTAGTCTGCTAGGATTTGGTTTGTTTTTGGAATTGGCATTTGTAGGAAAATTTTGTATTTACAGCCAACAAATGTTGAGTGGTTTTCTGCGGGGAATGGGTGGGGGCTAGTAAACATTTAGATGAGACATAAGGTTTTGTAAGCTTTTCTAAGGCTTTTTAGTTGATTTTTTTCCCCTTTACTTTGTTTAGAGTCATTTTCTGAGGATGAATGGAATTTACTGTATGTTGCAGTAACTCGAGCCAAGAAGCGTCTCATCATGACCAAATCATTGGAAAACATTTTGACTTTGGCTGGGGTAAGCAGAACGGGCAGCATGAGCTAACTTGATGCCATTGAATGTTATTTAGTCTGCTTGAGGGGCTGACCTGGAGCCTTCAGAGGCCTTCGGATCAAGATCCTGGGTTGGAAGAGAAACGCTGCTTGAACGTGCAAAGGCCGATGACCAGTATAAGAAGTGTTCTAACCAAGGAAACAAAAATGTGGTTCTTTTCTAAGTCATTTCCTAATTCAGTTTAAAAAGCTCTGTTTAAGATACCAGCAGTGGGCCAGGCACAGTGGCTTATGCCTGTAATCCCAGCACTTTGGGAGGCTGAGGTGGGAGGATCACTTGAGGCCAGGGGTTTGAGACCAGCCTGGCCAACATGGTGAAAACCCATCTCTACTAAAAATACATAAATTAGCCAGGTGTGGTGGCATGCATCTGTAATTCCAGCTACTCGGGAGGCTGAGGCAGGAGAAATCACTTGAACCTGGGAGGCGGAGGTTGCAGTGAGCCAAGATGGCACCACTGCCTTCTAACCTGGGTGACAGAGCGAGACTCCATCTCAAAAAAAAAAAAAAAAAAAAAAAAGATACCAGCAGTGGTCATGTATTTCTTAATTTCTCCTTTACTCAATTAGTTCTTTTTTTTTTTTTTTGGTTTGAGACAGGATCTCACTGTGTCACCCAGGCTGGAGTGCAGTGGCACAGTCATCACTCACTGTAACCTGGAACTCCTAGGCTCAAGCGATTATCTTACCTCAGCCTCCTGAGTAACTGGGACTACAGGTGCATGCCACCACACCTGACTAGTTTTTAATTTTTTTCTAGAGACGGTGTCTTGCTATATTGCCCAGGCTGGTCTCGAACTCCTGGCTAAAGTGATCCTCCTGCCTCAGCCTCCCAAAGTGCTGGAGTTACAGGTGTGAGCCACCTTGCTTTGCCCCTATTCTCAGTGTTCACAGGGAAAAATGCCAGGAAGGTTTTGTGCACCCAGCCTTCCTCCCTCTCACTCTTTAGTCCCTTTTGAAATGGCATTTGAAAAGTAGACTTTCCAGAAGAACACATCCTTGCCGGGGAGAGTAAGTGTTCAGGCACCTGGCCTTTGTCACAGACATGTGGAAAAGTGAGCTGGTCAGCACTCACTCTTTACCCTTCCCACAAACCATCTTCTCACACTCTACTTATTTTATCTCTTTTTCTGCCTAAACAGCTGGAGTATAAACCATTTAGTCTTTTCAACCCTGTCAGAAACTAGAACAGAAATTTGAGCTAATAGTTACTACTTAGTCCATCTTTCCCTGAACCCAAGATATTTAAGCCTGAAACCTAAAACTTAAGTGTAAAAGTTAATATAAATACTCTTTCTTGCTTAGCTGTCTCCAGAACAAAGATTGTGTGTAGCAGGATGGTTTATTCTCAGTGCCATATTGCCTACTCTCGTGGGGTGAGCCGCGCCGTACTGCCCTATGTGCTCTGGGGTTGAACCACAGGGTGCAGGCAGGGTGGGCGGTCACCACTTTTGAGTAAATGATATTCAACTCTCAGAGGTGTTAAGTGCAGTAGAACCCTGATGCTCATAATGGAATATTTATTGAGGGCCTAACACTTGCCAAGCACCTTTCTGGGTACTGGGGCATAACAGTGGGCAGGGAAATTCCTGCCCTCATAGAGCCCATCCAGGCGAGGAGATGGACAAGAAAGTGAACGAATAGGATTTTGAGGAAGATAATATCAAAACTTAAAAGAGAGAAGCTTTGCAAATAAATACTCTACATGACACATCACAGGGCAAAGGTTTCCTGCATAAAACTGATTAGCTTGCATGTGTATCCCATTTTTCATGCCTCCTTTGTCATTTTTCCTCCAGGCCTCTCTTAGGTAGGCTGACTTGGCCATAGGAATGTTTCCAGAATTTGAAATCTGATGCATTTTTCCCAGAACAGCTTTTCACCTGGGCTTCACCGAGTGCAACAGCTTAAGCGTCAGAGCTTAGAACTGAAGCCCTTTTTCTTTCGTTGCATCTTTAGCCACTAAAGCACATGGATCGTCTGTAGACTTTTTCTGTAAAGGGCCAGGCAGTAAAGATTTCGGACTCTGCAAGTCACATGATCTCTGTTGCAGCTACCCAGCCCCACTGCTGTAGTGCGAGAGCCCCTGTTGACAGTACATTAGTGAACAAGTATGGCTGTGTTCCAGTAAAATTAATTCACAAAAACGGCCATTGTCTGGATGTGGCCCACGTGTAGTTTGCTGACCTCTGGTTTAAAGAAAAGTGTGACTTTAAAAAATCTCTAAACCAGTACCCCCAGGAGTTAAGCAGAATAAATCATTATGTACAAATAGTCTCTACCTATACAAACATTTTTGTATAAACTTTGGTTTATAAGTACTTTTTTAGACCCTCCAGTATGGTTTTCTCATGGAAGTCGTGTTACAGAAGTGGTTAGGCCTGTCACAAAACCACATTGTCAATTGGTAGAACTGTGCAGGGTATTACAGAGCAGTGATATCATCTCACAACATGGGCTACACAGGACTTTTTGTTTTTGCTTATGAAAATTTTGAGACATTAAAAAGTAAAGAAAGCAATACACTGAACATTCATATACAAATCATACCTATATGTACACATCTCCAAAAAATATGTACTTTTTTCCCCATAACTACCATGCCATTTTCGTATTTTATAAATGTTATCATATGTGGCCTCTACTACCCGATCCATAATTATACTTTTATGATTGTCTCAGAAATGCCTTTTTACAGTTGATTTGTTCAAGTCAGAGTCCAAACCAACATTTGGTTGCTTGTCTCTTAAGTTAAATAGAGAGCTGTACGGGACTCCCTCCCTGCTTTTCCCATGCTCTTGTCTCATTGCATAAACTGGGTCATTCGTCCTACAGAGCGTCCCCATTCTTGGTTTGCTTCCCGGTGTGGTTGTGTAACTTGTTCTGCCATCATTACCTGTCCTGGCTTTCCAGTAACTGGAAGTTAGCCGTAGAGGCTTGATTCGATTCAAGCCTGAGTCTTGGCAGGCGTGCCCCATGGGAGGCCGGAGAGGGCTTCGTGCTTTGCCTCGTCACATGAGGAGGCTCACAGCCTCCTTAGGAGTAGGTTAGTTTTTCCCCGTTAGTGATGCTGATTGCTCATCTTTTGAAGAGGCACAGCTAGGAAATGTGTATTTTTGAAAAGAAAGAAAAAAAAACAGTGGTTCATACTGATAATCCCAATCCCAGTTTTTAAACTTTATTTGTTTCAAAGAGACAGGCTCTCACTCTGTTGCCTAGGCTTTAGTGCAGTGGCACGATCATGGCTTACTGCAGCATCAACCTCCTGGGCTTAGGCACAGTCCTCCCACCTCAGCCTCCCAAGTAGCTGGGAACACGCATGCACCATCACACCTGGCTGGTTTTTTTTTTGTTTTGTTTTTTTGTACAGACAGGGTCTCACTCACTATGTTGCCCAGGCTGGTCTTGAACTCCTGGGCTTAAGTGATCCTCCTACCTCAGCCTCCCAAAGTTCTGGGATTATAGGTGTGACACCAGGCAAATTTCAACATTTTGTTGTTAAATATAACACAAGTATATAAAACAGCATATAGCAGTTTAAAATGATGATGTTGTGAGCATCCACCAGATTAGAAGATGGGATCTGCCAGCCATCACGGAGCTGTCCTGGTGGCCCCTGGCCATCCTAGCACCCTCCCTCCTTTCTGAGGGTAACTGCCATCTCAGCAGATACGCATTACCTTGCTTTGTTGCACAACGGCACCTTTTTCTTTTTTCTTTTTAACCAGGTATGCAGCACCATCAGTAAGTGCTGAAAAATGATACTGTTTACACATGTTCTCTTCATTCTCCTGGGTTTCAAAAGCTGCACCGTATCTGCATTGTCAGAGGCTTTGGCCCTTCACACGTTCAGCCATCATAAATTGTGTTCCATAATCTAATTCACATTTAACACGAAAGGAATTTTACTTCTTTTCTCACACTTGAATCTTTTCTCATACACTGAAATCTTGGTTCCTAATAGTATTTATTACTTATTGATACTATTCTATGTATTTAAAAATAATATTCAAAATAATGCCAGTATTAATGGAATACTGACTGGACTTGAAGATTTCCTAACAGCTCCATTTCTCCATGAATGATGTATTTATTAGTCAAAATATCATGTTCTGAAGTCACTTAAAGTAAGTCCTTTTTGCTTTTGTGGTTTTATTACCAACTTAATTTGCAGTTAGACATGTAGTTTATTCATAATACCTACAGGGGTTGCTTTGCTTCTTTTTGATTTAATGATCTTTCTTGATGTGTAAGGCCTGTTAATGTTTTCAAAGTCAAAACCTTGCGCCTGGGCACAGTGGCTCACCCCTGTAATCCCAGCACTTTGCGGGGCTGAGGCAGACAGGTCACTTTAAGTCAGGAGTTAGAGATCAGCCTGGCCAACATGGCAAAACCCTGTCTCTACCAAAAAATACAGAAAAATTAGCTAGTCATGGTGGTGCATACCTGTAGCCCCAGCTACTTAGGAGGCTGAGGTGGGAGAATCGCGTGAACCCAGGAGGCGGAGATTGCAGTGAGCTGAGATTGTGCCACTGCACTCCAGCCTGGGTGACAGAGTGAGACCCTGTCTCAAAAGAAAAGATCAAAACTTTGTGATAAGAGAAGTCTCATTACCTCCCTGTTCACTTCAGACTGTTCTCTGCCTCCACCATTGGTAGTTATTTTAAACAATTAGCGATTAATCCTTCAGTATTTCTTTATGCAAGTATTAGCAAATTCGTAGGTATTTTCATATTCTCCTTTTCCACAGAAGGTAGCATTTCAGATACACTGTTGTGTACTTTGCTTTGTCACTTAGAAGCCATGGGAATCACTCTTTTATTTATTTTTTACTCTTTTATTTTTTGCCCTTTTATTCTTTTATTTGTTGTCCTACCCAAATTAGGAAATCCCTCTTTATCAGCTCACAGAGCTCTCTCGCCTCTTGGTCAGCTGCATAGTGTTCTGTGTTGACGCACTGTGATTTATGCCGTTCTCGCTCATGGACGTGGTCACTTCCAGCCTTTTGCTTTCATTAATAATGCTGCATTGCACAATCTTGTGCACAGGTCATTTCTGTTTTTGCCAGTGCATCTTCAGCATGCATTTCTAGAAGTGGAATTGCTGGGTAAAGATAAATGCAAGTGTGACTTTTCTGTTGTTTTGTTTTGTTTTGTTTTTGAGACAAGGCCTGGCTCTGTCACCCAGGCTGGAATATGGCGGCACAATCTTGGCCCACTGCAACCTCCGCCTCCCAGGCTCAAGCCATCCTCCCACCTCAGCCTCCCGAGCAGCTGGGACTACAGGTGTGTGCCACCACACCTGGCTAATTCTGTATTTTTTGTAGAGACGGGGTTTTGTCTGTTTCCCAGGCTGGTCTCAAACTCATGAGCTCAAGTGATCTGCCCTGCCTTAGCCTCCCAAAGTGCTAGGATTACAGGCATGAGCCACTGCACCTGGCCAAGTGTGACTTTTCTAGATGTTGCCAATTTTTTCATGGAGATTGTTATCACTTTAGAGTCCCACCAGTTGTATGCATAAGAGTGAAATAGGCCCGGCGCAGTAGCTCACACCTGTAATCCCAGTACTTTGGGAGGCCTAGGAGGGCGGATCACTTGATGTCAGGAGTTCAAGACCAGCCTGGCTAACATGGTGAAACCCTGTCTCTACTAAAAATACAAAAATTAGCTGGGTGTAGTGGCGTATGCCTGTAATCCCAGCTACTCAGGAGGCTGAGGCAGGAGAATCACTTGAATCCGGGAGGCAGAGGTTGCAGTAGGCTGAAATCGTGCCACTGCACTCCAGTGTGGGCAACAAAGTGAGACTCTGTCTCAAAACAAACAAACAAAAAAGTGAAGTAGACTTTTTAAAGCTGATTGGAAGGTTGTCAGTTGGTTGCTGCATGCATTTTGTTTTCCCCATAGAAGAAAAGAATACAGAATCTAGAGAAATACTTCCCCATTACTGAGACTGGGGTGGGCTGTCTGCCCTCAGGGGTCCTGCGAGGAAGTCCCAGAAAAACTGCCTATTTGTGGGAACAGATTTTTTAAGGCTGTAAGACCTTGTTAGAAGTGGAGGCACTCTGCTGTTTTTTTTTTTTTTTTAAAAAACAGAGTCTCACTCTGTCGCCCAGGCTGGAGGGCAGTGGTGTGATCTTGGCTCACCGCAACCTCGGCCTCCTGGGTTCAAGCTGTTCTCCTGTGTCAGCCTCTCAAGTAGCTGGTAGTACAGGTGTACACCACCATACCTGGCTAATTTTTTTTGGTATTTTTTTTTTGTTAAAGACGAGGTTTCACCATGTTGGCCAGGCTGGTCTCAAACTCCTGACTTGAAGTGATCCACTCGCCTCGGCCTCCCAAAGTGTTGGGATTATAGGCGTGAGCCACCATGTCCAGCCTTTTTTGTTGTTGTTGATCACAGCCTGTGAATAAATTTGGGGATATCCTGTTTCAGAAGTGTCGAGTCCAGTCTCTGCCCAGGAGGGAAGGCCATGGGGATAATGAAGATCCCGAGTTGGGCAGTAATTCAGAGGCTAGGAAAGCGTGTTAAAAATAGTGGAGCCACGGACGGGGGTGTTTTGGAGATAAAAAGCGAGCCATTGCTTCCTGCGCTGCCTAGAACGATAAGCCCCTTTATCTCCCAAGAGTAGGGCAACCTTCTTTTTCTTTGACCCCTCCCCCTTAGAAAATATAGCTAATAGAATCACCAGAAGCCATTTTGTTCATTTGTTTCTTTAAGTTTTGGGAAAGTGAAGGAAATTATTACATTGTTGAGGTGTTAAGTGACATGAAGTTATGTTTCAAAGACAGGTTTTTTTTTTTGTTTTTTTTTTTTTTTGAGATGGAGTCTCTCTCTGTAGCCCAGGCTGGAGTGCAGTGGTGCCATCTTGCTCGGCTCACCGCAACCTCCACCTCCCGGGCTCAAGCGATTCTCAGGCCTCAGCCTCAGAGTAGCTGGGATTACAGGCGTGTGCTACCATGCCTGGCTAATTTTTGTATTTTTAGTAGAGATGGGGTTTCACCCATATTGACTGGGCTGGTCTCAAACTCCTGACCTCAAGTGATCCGTTTGCCTTGGCCTCCCAAATTGCTGAGATTACAGGCTTGAGCCACTATGTCTGGCCAAAGACAGCTTCTTGGTCTCACAGAATCTTAGATTCTTTTTGTTTATTTGTTTAGATACAGGGTCTTGCTTTGTTGCCCAGGCTGGAGTGCAGTGGCACGATCTCAACTCACTGCAACCTCAGCCTCCCGAGTAGCTGAGACTACAGGTGTGCACCACTATGCCTAGCTAATTTTTGTATTTTTGGTAGAGACAGGGTTTCGCCATGTTGCCCAGGCTGGTCTCGAACTCCTGGGCTCAAGTGATCCTCCCACTTCAGTCTCCCAAAGTGCTGGGACTACAGGTGTGACCCCCACCCCTTAAATTTATATAAATAAAAACAGTTAATCTGGTGGGTTATGAGAGGCTTAAAAAGAGTTAAATGGCATAAAATCTAAAGAAATCAGAGAACACTGCATGTTAGGTTAAGTCATGTTTTGTGAAACTTTTCTTCCATGTGTGTTTCTTACATATGTGCGTATGTATAGCATTATAATGGTAACTGCGTCAAAAACGGCTTGAGAGCCTAGCCCTGGAGAAACTTCTGGAGTGGACAGGGAGTCAGGTACAGGATGTTCATTGCTGCATTGTTGGAAATAGTTTGGAAACAACCGAGTAACCACAGCAAGGGAATGGGTAAATGAAATACAAGAGAGCGCTGTGACTGAGTCCTCTACAGCATTTTAGAAAACCTAGGTGAGGAGGAAGCCAGAAGCGTAACATTCATGTAAATTAGACATCTATAAAAGGAGACCTGTGTCCTTGGACACGTGTAAACGAGAAGCTATTTCACCGTGGGTTGGAGGGACCTCGCCAGGTTCATGGTCTTGGCTGTCTCTCGGGAAGGAAATTGAGATGACAGTCCAAGGGACTTCAGCAAAATCTGTGACTTCAGACAGGATTTCACCTCGTCAGCTGTTAGTACTTGTTGGCCATAACTGGAGTGTTTGCCTGGTGGTTTTCTGTTCTTTTTCATAGCTGGTAGGCAGGCCGTCTAAGAGAAAAGACCAAATAAATCAAAACGTAGGTTACAGATTGTAGAATAAGTAGATCAATAGCTGGTCATAATCCAGAAAATACGAAACCGTCCTTTCCTGGGCAGCAGATGTGTGCGGTCCTGCTAGCATATCAGTCTGTGATGTGGAGCCCCACAGGGCAGCAGCGAAGCTGACAGTGCCCTGTCCTTGTGGTGTTTCCAGCCTGGGAGGTCACTAGTGCTTCCTCTGGGTGCTCCCTGCGTGCCAGGCGTGAGTGCTTTGCATGCATTGAAGGGTTTCTTCTCCTCAGCAGCCACCTGAAGCAGGCACCGTGCCATCTGCATTTATGGATAAAGACACAGGCTTAGCGAGGCTGTCATTTGCTCACTAGCACAGCCAGCAGCACGGGACGGTGGAAATACGCAGGGATGTTTGGGGCAAGTTTTCTTCATGTCCTCTGTGTTGCCTGCCTGGCTTATAATGTGAATACACAATAGTTTTCTGAAGATTGAGCTGGGGATACCTTAGCATAAAATAAAATCCAGAAATATTCTGGAAATGTCATTACAGGCAATAGTTTTGCATGTTTATCTGTTAAATATATATATATTTAAAAAGCAATTGGACTGTCAGTTGGACTGTCGATAGCTTTGGAGGCAGGGAAAAGTTAGAGGAAGTAAGGGAGAACGGGTTAGGCGGGGTTTTTCTCTCTGGGACTTACAGTGCATCTAAAGGGTTCTCACAGAGCCGCCGCTATCAGTGTTTCCAGTAGACCCTAACGGAGGTGTCGCCATGACTCTCTTTCTCGCTCTTTCTTTCTCAGGAGTACTTCTTGCAAGCAGAGCTGACAAGCAACGTCTTAAAAACAGGCGTGGTGCGCTGCTGCGTGGGACAGTGCAACAATGCCATCCCTGTTGACACCGTCCTTACCATGAAGAAGCTGCCCATCACCTATGTACGTCTGCTGTCTGTGGAACTTAATTCAGCCATTTGCATTTTTTGCTTGTGAGCTCTGTGCTTATCTGGGTTGTAGGTGAGGAGATAAGAGAGAGCTGTGTGATCCTTTATTAGGGGCTTTTCATATGAGAGGCACAAGAGGTGTGTGGTCTGTCCCAGGGTCAGAGGTCAGGGCACGTGATGCTGCCTGGCTGTGCTGAAGCCGCAGGTCTGGGAGGCTGGGTTGTGATACACGCTTAGAGAGAGAGCTGTTCCCTGGGGTCCCAGCGCAGCTTTTCTTGGTTCTTTATCTTGACTGGATAAATGACTGTTTCTGAGCTCAGGGAATTTGGGGGTGTTGAGGCCACCTAGTTGGTGGTGCTGTGGGAGGTGTTACTCTGAGGATGTGCACCCCTCTGAAAACATCAGAATCCAAATGCGTTGTCCCTGGGCAGCTGTGATGATAACTCCATGCTTTTTGCTGGAAAATCCATGTTCTTTGGTTGTTCCCCTTAGCTCTCTCTCTTGTCCATCACCACAGAGCAACAGGAAGGAAAACAAGGGGGGCTACCTCTGCCACTCCTGTGCGGAGCAGCGCATCGGGCCCCTGGCGTTCCTGACAGCCTCCCCGGAGCAGGTGCGCGCCATGGAGCGCACTGTGGAGAACATCGTACTGCCCCGGCATGAGGCCCTGCTCTTCCTCGTCTTCTGAGGACAAG
The DNA here is from genome assembly GCF_000001405.40 of Homo sapiens. Classification (NCBI taxonomy): domain Eukaryota; kingdom Metazoa; phylum Chordata; class Mammalia; order Primates; family Hominidae; genus Homo; species Homo sapiens. Next base: position 5,937,288 of record NC_000010.11, read on the forward strand.
GCGCACGTTCTCCGCAGTGCAGAGCAGCTTGCCGAGGACCCCGCGTGAAGAAAGCCAGCGAGGGGGGCTTCTGCTCCCTGAGACTCTGGGTTCACCCACAGCACTTTCTGAGGAAGAGGACACCAGCCCAAGCTGGACCTGCCATTTCTCCACTCCCTACAGACAGCCAGTCTCCACTTGCCTCCCCTCTGGATGTATCTGGTCAGGGAAGTGGGGGATGTTCTTTTGATAAAAAAAAAAAAAAAAATTTATGTATTTAAACTTTTATTACAAGATTTCAATTAAACAGGCACCATAGCACTGGCATACCGCTGTGTGATGTCTGCGTCAGCACTGTCGTTCTGAACCTTCTCTTTTTCCAGCTTACTCTTTCCTACAGCACTGTCACTGTTCACAAGACACAGGAAGCAGAGTATGAGACGTGATGTCTTGGGTGGGAACTGAGGCATCAAAAATGAGACTTTGGCCGGGAGCAGTGGCTCACACCTGTAACCCCAGCACTGAATCCAGCCAAGGCAGGAGGACTGCTGGAGCCCAAGGTTGAGGCTGTGAGCCGTGGTCACCTCACAGCTCACTGTACTCCAGCCTGGGTGACAGCGGGACACTGTCTCAAATAACAATAATGTTTTAAGGAGGTCAGATAAATTACAAGGCTAACAGGATCATAATCTCAGCAAGAAATGACCCCAGATGGGCTGGACCACAGCGCCTGTGGGGCCTGGTGAGGAGGGAACGGATGCGAAGATCAGTGGTTCTCAAAGTGTGGTTCCAGCAAGCAGCGGCAACATCACCTGGGAACTTGTTAGAAATAAAAATGTTCAGTCCCCACACCAGGCCTACAGGATCAGAAACTCCAGGGTTGAGGCCCAGCTGTTCGTACATAACAAGCCTGACAAGTGATGCTCATGCATGCTAAGTTGGGAAACTTCTGCTCTTGATGTTTAGAAGGTAGAATCGGTCGGATTTCTGGAGTACTGGGATCATGATAGGGACACTCAGTGGTAGAGGTCATCTTCACTGAGACAGGGAAAATGGGAGCTATAGCAGGTTTGTGTAAACGCAGTGATCAGTTTGGTTTTCAGCATGTTGAGTGGAACCGTCTAGGAGGCTGTTGGGTGAACACATCTGTCCTGCAGCAAAGGGCCTGGCTGGACCTGGGGACTTTATAGAGTTGTCGGTGTGTAGGTGGTGGTGCAGTTTGAAGGGTTTCGCCGAGTTAATCCAGGAGAGTTTAGACAATGAGAAGAGCAGAGGGCCGAGAAGCAAAGCCGGCGGACACGAGGCTTGGGGTGAAGAGAGGAAGAGGGTTTAAGAAGAGCGACAGCTGATCCAGAGGAGCCTCGTGATGGAGCACCACTGAGCTCCGGAGAGGAGGGAGTTCAGGAAAAGGGGATCTTCAGCATCCAGTGCAGTAAATAGACCAAATAAACAAGGGTGGGCAGGTGTTTAACCAGCACTATCAAGGTCAGTTGACATTAGCTGATCAGTTTCAGTTAGGTGAGAAGCCGACCACTGTGGCCTAAAATGTGAGTGAAAAATTTGAGGGCTAAGAAGTATGTGTTCATTTATGGTTTCTTTCTGAAGCCATACTGTAAGGGCAGTAAAAGTTGTGTGTGTGTGTATGTGTGTGTGTGTTTTAACCCTTAAGGGCAAAGACAACAGGAAGGAGGCAGCAGTGATCCTGGAGGCATCAGGATCATCAAACATCTGAAGATGACCCGGCCCCTAAGATGAAGGCTAGAGGTCAAAACCAAAGAATCAACTTGGAGCAAACTGTCTGTACAGGGAGAAGAAAACATCTAAATATCTTTAACACATTCAGAGAATGGAGGAGGTAGTGCATTCCATAGAGTAGCAGGATAGATATGTATAAAATAATATTTGGGGCCGGGCGCATTGGCTCACGCCTGTAATCCCAGCACTTTGGGAGGCTGAGGCGGGTGGATCATCTGAGATCAGGATTTCGAGACCAGCCTGGGCCAACATGGTGAAACCCTGTACTAAAAATACAAAAATTAGCCGGGTGTAGTGGTATGTGCCTGTAATCCCAGCTACTCAGGAGGCTGAGGCAGGAGGATCTCTTGAACCTGGGACGCAGAGTAAGACTTCGTCTCAAAAAATAAAAATAAAATAAAATTTTGGAGCAAAAAATATGAAAAGAAACCCAGTAGAACTGTTAAAATAATAAGTTGAGAATCTAGAAAGTAGAGCAAAAACAAAGATTGAGAAGTAGTTAGAGGCTGGACGTGGTGGCTCATGCCTGTAATCCCAGCACTTTGGAAGGCTGAGTCAGGTGGATCGCTTTGAGCTCAGGACTTCAAGACCAGCCTGGCCAACATGGCAAAACCCATCTACAAAAAATGACCTGGGTGTGGTGGTGCACGATTGTGATCCCAGCTACTCAGGAGGCTGAGGCTGGAGAATGGCTTGAGCCCGGGAGGTGGAGGTTGCAGTGAGCTGAGATTGTGCCACCACACTCCAGCCTGGGTGACACAGCGAGAGCCTGTCTCAAAAAAAAAAAAAAAAGAAAAAAAAAACTAGGGAACCAATTTAAGAAGTTGAGCATCTGTGAATGGGAATTGCAGGAAGAGAAAATGGACAACAGAGTTAAGGAATTTTTAAATTTAATTTTTTTTCAGACGGAGTCTCTCTCTGCTGCCCAGGCTGGAGTGCAGTGACTTGATCTCGGCTCACTGCAACCTCCACCTCCTGGGTTCAAGCGATTCTCATGCCTCAGCCTCTTGAGTAGCTGGGACTACAGGCACATGCCACCATGCCCGGCTAATTTTTTGTATTTTTAGTAGAGATGGGGTTTCACTGTGTTGGCCAGGATGGTCTCGATTTTCTGACCTCGTGATCTGCCCACCTCGGCCTCCCAAAGTGCTGGGATTACAGGCGTGAGCCACCGCACCTGGCCGAAACATTTTTTTTAATTATGAAAATTACCTGAAACTGATGGTAAGGGTTTCTGGATTGAAATGACTCATTAAATGCCCAGGACAATGGGTGAAAATAGGCCCACATTGGCCGGGCGTGGTGGCTCACACCTGTGATCACAGCACTTTGGGAAGCTGAGGTGGGAGGATTGTTTGAGCCCAGGAGTTCAAGACCAACCTGGGCCACATAGGCAGACCCCATCTCTACAAAAAGTATAAAAAATTAGGTGTGGTGGCGCATGCCTTGTTCCCAGCTACTTGGGAGGCTGGGGCAGGAGGATGGCTTGAGCCTGGGAGGTTGAGGCTGCTGTGAGCCATGATTGCACCACTGACCACCACAGCCTGGGTGACAGAGCGCAGGACGTAGCCTGGGGGGAAAAAGGCAATGATTAGTCCTCTGGAAGGCGACAGGTTGTGTAGGAGAGAACTGTAATTGACCCCCCCCACCACCAGCTCAGTGGAGTGTACCTGCTTTCATGGCCTTCATAAGGGTGGGCGTGTTCTGCAGGTAGGAGCTGTGTGCACATGTGGAGTGAACGAGCCGAATCTTAGCCTCTGCGGCAGGAAGTCAGTCACAGTGCCTGAAACTCAAACATGGAAGCAGAAGCCCATGTGAGCCCATCATTTAGAGATATCTTGGAGATGCATAACACACACCGAGACACTCAGCAGAAAGATTTCTAAAAGTTTCCTTTTGGGAGGGGGAACGGGCAGGTGGAGGAGCTTTTTGGTAGGTGTCTTACATAACTGTTGGCTCTAAACTATGTGTCTGTATGATAGAACCATAAAATACCAGTGGGAGGTGAAGATACGGACACCACGTAGACTAGTTCTCAGAAAGCAAGGCTGGCAAGAGGCAAGAAGTGGATAGGGGATGACGTGGCCTTAGGGAGGGGTTTTTGCTTTTAAAACGAGAGAGGTTTGTGCAGGGTTATGTGTTGAGAGGAAGCAAATTCAGAGAGGAGAGATGGAAGCCAGATGAGAGGGATTGGGACGGGAGAGATGAAGGAGAAAGGGGTACGTTGTAAGTGGTTAGGGAGGAAGTTTAGGTTGCTCTCACCCAATAATTTTCTGGTTTTTTTGAGACAGGGTCTTACTCTGTCACTCAGGCTGGAGTGCAGTGGTGCAGTGACAGTTCACTGTAGCCTTGACCTCCAGGCCCAGGTGACCCTCCCACCTCAGCCCCTCAAGTAGCTGGGACTACAGGTGCATGCCACCATGCCCGGCTAATTTTTGCTTATTTTTTGTAGAGATGAGGTGTCGCTCTGTTGCCCAGGCTGGTCTGAAACTCCTGGGCTCAAGCTGTCCACCTGCCTCAGTCTCCCAAAGTGCTGGGTTTAGCGTTTGGGATGGACATAGAAGGGAATGGAGTGGAAGGTGACGGAAAACACAGGTGTGCCGGGCAGCACCCTCCCAGTTGACATCAAACACCATCCTTTTAGCTGGTATTTTTCCTTTAGCAGCCCAGGCATGAGGGCAGAGACGTCGCATGGTGGACTCAGACACAGCTTAATAAACTTAAGGCAGTGCAGCACCCCCGTGGGACCTTCCTGCCTGGGAAGCTGGTCACTGTCACGCTGCCTGCCCAGCTTCCGTCCTGTAGTGGCATTTGGTCTGTGTCTGGGAGCAACTCACTGTATCACAAAGGGACTTTGACACCCCTAGAATCAGACTATTAGCAATTTAACATGTTTTTCAAGTCTGATCCTTGCCCTTCAGTCCTTCCTAGTCACCCTGAACCCCTGGCTTTAGCAATGTGGGGTACACCGAGAGCCTGGAAGCTGATCACTCTACATTTGCAGTGAGTGGGTGCGGTAGAGACGTCTGAACCGAGGCAGGCAGGGTTCCTCCAGCTCCTTGCCCAGACATGAAGACAGTGCTACACGCACGCCCCTGGCCAAGGCACCTCTGCACAGCTGGGCTGGTGTGGGGGGCAGGGCTCCCTTAGCCGGCAGGGGCTCTCCCTCTGCCTGGCCTACTTAAGGGACAGGTTCTCCATGAGGGCCCAGGAGGTGCCGTCCCCTGCGATCCTCCTCACTGGGGACCTGTGTGTGTTTTATCCCTAGTGGCGTGGGCTGAGAGGTAGGTTAGGTGGAGGGAGGGGGGCTTCCCACTCAAACGCCAAGGTCGCCAGTCGATCACTCCATTTGCTGTCTTCGTGACATCTCAGCCCTGCCATGTCCCACATGCAGCCCCTGATTTCCTTCCGAGCCTGGCTGGCTCCTCCACGCACCCTTCCCCACCTCCAGAAACAGCACCACCATCGGGCTGTGATACTTTTCTTCATGCCAGTTCACTGGGAAGCTCCACGCGGCCTCCAGGGTGCACCACCCACCCGCCCGCGACCCTCCACCGTTCTGCCTCCTGGACCAGTTGTAGTCTATGTTGCTCTGTGCCTCTGCCCTGGCCCAACTCGCTCCCATGTAGAGGGACCTGCAATCTTACAATGAAGACTAACGCCGGTCACCCTCCTGCCTCAACCCTGCAGGGCTCTCCTGTTGCGATGAGGGCGTCAGCCCAAGTTGGACCGCAGCGGAAAGGCTGGCGTTTCCTGTCCATTTCCAGGCTGGCCTCTGTCACCCTAAGCCTGTCTTTTAAAGGAACTCACTGAGGGCCCCAGGAAGCGGCCAGCACAGTGCTGACATCCTGGATTTTTCTTTTCTTCCTTTTTTAAATGTACAATTCAGTGGTTCTGATTTTTTTTTCTTTTCTTTTTTTTTTTTTTTTTTGAGACAGAGCCTCACTCTGTCACCCAGCCTGGAGTGCAGTGGTGAGATCTCCGCTCACTGCAACCTCTGCCTCCCGGGTTCAAGCGATTCTCCTGTCTCAGCCTCCCAAGTAGCTGGAATTACAAGCATATGTGACCACAACCAGCTAATTTTTGTATTTTTGGTAGAGACGGGGTTTCACCATGTCGGCCAGGCTGGTCTTGAACTCCTGACCTCAGGTGATCCACCTGCCTCAGCCTCCCAAAGTGCTGGGATTACAGGCGTGAGCCACTATGCCTGGCCTGAATTTTTTATTTTTTTTAAAGTAATCATTTTCCTAATACATGTCTTCCTAATCTGGACCCCACAGATTAAGAAATGCTTTAGTTTTTAATACCCATGGTATATTCTACTACCACTATGTGAAGAGTTGCAGTTAGAACTCTTCCAAAAGATCACATTAAAAAAAAAAATAGCATCAGCCTTTGGAGTCCAGGATGAACAATAAAATAAAAAATAAGTAGCATGGAGGTCACATGGAGAGAGCTTCACCAAGAATTGGCGACACCTGGTGACAGGTAACACTTTAATCAGCCTCACACACACATAATGGGGTCGGTCCCGCGTCCTCAGCCAGCTCCACGTATTTTAGAGTCTCTTACAACATCCCCACTTAATTGGCTGTGAGTGGCCCCAGAGCAAGGCTCTCAGGGGCGGGAAGCAGAAAGTGCTGATTCCACGGGCGTGCGGAGGAGGCTGGTGGCAGGGGCTCGGCTCAGCTGCTCCCAGGCATTCCTTCCTCCCCTGCTCATGTTCGGTGCCTCAGCGTCGCCGGGCAGGCTTCTCTTGGCCAGCCACCTGCAGGGCAGTGTCACGGGAGGCAAGGGAAGGGTAGGCTGGTCTTCTGTGTCTCTTAGGAGTGTGGCAGGCCGGGTCTCTCTTAGCAACCAGAGCAGCCAGCCTCACCAACACCTTACTATAACTCTGAGGAATATATAAATTAAACGAGGAAAATTGGAGAAACTGGTGCCTTAATACAAAGGCTAGAGTGTAAAAACAAGTCGATTAAGACCCCACCTGGGCTTTCTCCCAGACCTTAGAGTTTAATTAAAATAATGGAGGCGTTCTTGTGGACCTTGTACCATGATCCACTTTAAATTAAGTAATTGGGCCAGGAGCAGCGGCTCACGCCCGCAATCCCAGCACTTTGGGAGGCTGAGGGAGGAGGGTCGCTTGAGCCCAGGAGTTCAAGACCAGCCTGGGCAACATAGTGAGACCCTCCCTCTAAAATAAGAAAGAAAAAAAATGAAGTAATTGTTTCAAGGCTCTGAAGTAATTTTCCAGACCCCAGACCCTAGTGAAAGATTAAACAGAGGAATATACTTCAGCTTGGAGGTGTACTCCTGCACATAGGCATATGGTTTAAATGTGTATAAGCACTGAAAAAAAACTTATAATTTTAAATTAGTCTGGTGAGTTACTCTGACCTTCTCCCTGTAACCAGAAATAAACTCCCTTCTTCCCCACTCTGTCTGCAGCTTGTTATTGGACCATGAGAACAAGCAGCTGGACCTGGTTTTGTCTGGGAAGAGGCGCAAGAAAGCCTTTCCCACAGGCTTCTCCAGCTGACTCACATATTGTTGGTCAGAACTGGGCTACCTGCCCACTCCTAAGCCAATCATAGTAAGGAAGAATGGCTTCAAATCATCAGGGTTTTATTTCCTGGAGCTTGGGATGAGGTCAGCTTTCCATGATGCACACGGCTGGGTGAAATAATAAATCCTAAAAAAGTGGGAATGTATTTGCGAAGGAAGGGGCAGGTGCTGATTACCATGTAAGTAAATATACCTCATTAAGGAAGTGAACTCAACGTTTATTAGGAGCCTCCTGCAGGTAGACGCTATCAGGCCTTTGTGTATGTGAATTCCTTCAGTCCTCACAGCAAACCTGGGAGGCAGATGACAGCCGCCATTTGCAGATGAAGAAACAGGCTCTAAAGAGTCACGGGGCTGGGCCCACTGTGCTCAGTATCACAGAGCAGAGCTTGGATGAAAACTCAAGTTCAATCCCAAACCCATAGTATTTCCACTACCACTGTGTGAAGAGTTGGAGTTAGAACTCTTCCAAAAGATCAGTTTGTTTGTTTTTTTAAAGCATCTGCCTATGGAGTCCAGGATGAACAATAAAATAAATATTTAATAGCATGGAAGGCTTTCAGATGTTCTTAGCCATGGAATTCTTTAGGCTTAATTTTACTTCCAGTTAACAAATGCAGCCGCTGTGGTCACTCAGGAGGGGGATGGGCACCCAGAGTTCCTTCTCCGCTCCCGCCTGTGGTGGCCCCTCAGGTGCCTCTGCAGCCACCAGGGCTTCCCAGAACACTTGGAAAACACCTGCAGCCACTGCAGCCCCGGGACACTGACAGCAATTTGAGTACCCTCTGGGTGGCATTAACTCCAAGGAGATTTTGAAGATTACACCCCATTTTTGAATTATTTTGGAGACAAGAGTCCCACTCTGTCGCCCAGGCTGGAGCGCAGTGACGCGATCACCGCTCACTGCAGCCTCATGCTCCTGGGCTCAAGCGATCCTCCCACCTCAGATTCCTGAGTAGCTGGGACCCTAGGTGAGCCATGGCACCCAGTTATACACTTCTGTAACTAGGACTGTTGGCTCTCTGCCCAGAGGAATGAAGACACAGCTTCAGAAAGAGAAGCACTAACCTTCATGGTGAGGGCGTCCACCAGGAGGGAGTGGTTTTGCCAAGCGGGGACTTGAGGCAGACGGCCCAAGTTTCACCAACTGTGTTCAATCCTACGGGACCCTTGCTCTTTTTCAGTTTCATTTTCCTTCCAGTTACTGAGCAGCCCTCCCAGGACCCGAGGATGCAGGGCATGCAGGGGCGGCGCAGTGCTTCCCCGGCCAACCCCTGCCTTGCCGTCCGGTTGACCTGGCTGCCCAGCAGCCATGCTCTGTCTTTCCTGAACGTGTTGCTCAATTTCCTGTTTGGGTTTTTGCCTCCACCGCCCCCCCCCACCATTTAGAATGCTCCCTGCCCGTTTATTTAAATTCCACCCATCCTTCCAACTCACATCCTGCATTCCTCAAGCTTCCAGGCCTTGGAGCCATTTCTGCCTTTACTGGGCTCGTGTCCCATTAGTGTGTGTGCTTGTGGTGTAAGGTTTTGTTTCATATTTGTTCCGGTATGCTTCTCTTTTTGACCAGGCTGTAAACTTCTTGAGGATTAGTACCAGGCTTAACTGTCAGGATCTCTAGTGGCTAGCGAGGGGAGAGACAGACGCCAGGGTCTCCTGTGACCCTCACGCCTCTGGGAAGGGAGTGCATGTGCCGTCATCCCCACTACAAAGATGAGGCAATGTCCGTGTGTGTAGTGTCTCCAAGTGACAGGGCCAGCAAAGGGTAGAATGGATGCTCAGCAAAGGGTAGAATGGATGCTCGACACTCAGGCTTTTAAGTTCTATCTTCTTTCCACTGCACAAAGATAGTATTTTGCAGATGCCACATGAATAGCACCGATAATAAGTGTTATGAAGGCTCAGAGGCAAATGATTTTGTACAACTGAGTCATTAGCCAAGGCTCCGGGGCTGGGCATGGTGGCTCACGCCTGTAGTCCCAGCACTATGGGAGGCCAAGGCGGGTGGATCACTTGAGATCAGGAGTTCCAGATCAGCCTGGACAACATGGCGAAACCCTGTCTCTATCAAAAATATAAAAATTAGCTGGGCATGGTGGCACGCACCTGTAGTCCCAGCTACTCAGGAAGCTGAGGCAGGAGAATCGCTTGAACTCGGGAGGCGGAGGTTGCAGTGAGTGGAGATCGTGCCACTGCACTCCAGCCTGAGCGACAGAGCGAGACTCTGTCTCAAAAAAAAAAACCCTCCAAAACTGAAACAACAGAGGCTCCTGGAGAAGGTAAACTTGATCTGGTTCTGGAAGGTGAGTTGGATGTAGGAGACTGTGAAGGAAGGACAGGGGCATTGGGCATTGGCTACGGGCTTGGCCTGTGAGGAGGCCGCAGGTGGGACGTGGGGGTGGAGGTGCTTGCAGCAGGGCCCGGCCCAGCCTTGGGGAGCTCTTGTTTCCACGGAACAGGCTGATTCCTGGGATCCTGAGGGTCTGATTGGGATTCTCAGCAAAGTTTTCTCCCCATGCAGAATGGGACAGGGGGAGGAAATTGTCAGCAGAACAGACTTCCTTTTGCAAGATGCCCCCCTCGAGCAGGAGGCAATGTTGCAGCATTGTCAGGCAGAACAGAGGGCTGCTTCTGAGGACAAGGGAGGGTGGGGGATCCTGTGAGTCCTCCAAATGTCCCCCTACATTTTTAATCCAGTACAGGAACCTCGCCCTTCTCCAATCAGTGCTCTCCCTTCAGCTGGGAAACCTGCTGGGGCCATGGATTCAGCTAATGTTCTTCCAACAACTTGACGGCTTAGACTGTTGTTTTTTTTTGGAGACTGTGTCTCCTCTGTCATCCAGGCTGGAGTGCTGTGGCATGATCTCGGCTCACTGCTACCTCCTGGGCTCAAGCAGTTCTCCCACCTCAGCCTCTTGAGTAGCTGGGACTACAGGCACATGCCACCACAACTGGCTAATTTTTGTATTTTTTGTAGAGACAGGGGTTTCGCCATGTTGTTTGGGCTGGTCTTGAACTCCTGGACTCAAGCGATCCACCTGCCTCGGCCTCCCAAAGTGTTTGGATTACAGGCATGAGCCACGGCGCCCAGCCAAAGGCTCAGACTCTTAAGATGGGTTTTCAGATATCCTGGCCTCGCATCTGTAAGGAATGAAATTCCGCGTTGTTCTAGGCAGTCTTTAGGTTTCAGCCTGTGGCTTGAATTCAGACTTTAGAGATTTGAACTTCTTATTCTCTAAGTTTTTCAGTGACATTAAAAGCAGCTACCCACTATGGGCTCAGATTTCTCATATCCATACGATTTCAGGATGGACGCAACATAGTCTCTGAGAGCCAGGCTTGCAGCAGGCATGACATCCCAGGCACCTCCTGGCGAACTAATTACCGAATTCCCTGGGCCGCTCCATTCCTGTCTCTGCATATCATCAGAACATTCACTCTTTTCTCTCGTCCCTAAGGCAGATAACCAGCCGCAGACACTCCTTATCTCCCCTCTTCTCCATAATTTGCAATACCCACTCCTGGTACCGAATTTCATATCAGCTAGGAACTTTTCAGTGACAAGTAATGAAAACAGAATCTGTTATAAAGAAAAAAAAATGTATTGGAAAGATACGAGGGGCTCATAGAATCCCGGAAAATGGGAGGCTTAGGTTTGGAATATGGTTAGGACCTAAAGACGCCTGGAGAGCCCAGAACAGGAGGCCCAGCAGCCAGTCAGAGCTTCTGAGGCCACTGCTGGCCACTGCCCTGTGAGTTCTGTGCTCTTCATTCTCTGTATTCAACAGCTTTGTAGTCTAGCTGAGAGGCCCTGGAGGCCACGCCCAGGCCAGGTGCCCACGCGTGGGGAGAGCAGGGAGAGGGGAGGTCAGCCCGTCTGTGTCAGTGGGTGATGAGGCACCCCAACAGGATGGAGGAGCCCCAGTGGAATTCTGCATTCCCATTCTTTCTCCTCCTTTGTGTGGAACATTTCTCCTTGGTGATTTTTTTTTTTTTTTTGAATTGGAGTCTCGCTGCGTCTCTCAGGCTGGAGTGCAGGGGTATGATCTCGGCTCACTGCAACCTCCACCCCCAGAGTTCAAGTGATTCTCCTGCCTCAGCCTCCCAAATAGCTGGGATTACAGACGCTCACCACCACGCCAGGCTAATTTTTGTGTTTTTAGTAGAGATGGGGTTTCACCATGTTGGCCAGGCTGGTCTCAATTTCCTGACCTCAGGTGATCCACCCGCCTCGGCCTCCCAAAGTACTGGGATTACAGGCATGAGCCACCCTGCCCGGCCATCCTTGGTGATTCTTTTAATGCATTTTAAAATATTGAAAATATATATTTTATTTTGTTTATACAAGGCACAATGTCAAAATACAAATCATATATAATGTGTAGATATAACAGACAAGGAAGTATAAATGCATATATATGTAAAATGGCGCTGAGATGAGTTTTCTTCTTCCTGAATCCTTCGATGGAGAGGATTCACTGGGCTTAGCATCTCCTCCACCTTTTCCGGCTCCCTGTCAGTGCGTGCAGCACAGCTGGAGACAGGGTCATTGGGAGGAGCCCAAACGCTGGTGTCTTCCCTATAGACATCTCCCACGCCAGGAGGAGCCTTGTAATTGACAGAGAGCCTCAGGTATGTCACTTTTCTCTGTGAGCTGCAAGTCAGGATGAGGGACGGACGGTTTCAGGAGAGGAGGAGGTGTTTCATCCTGAATAGCTAAGAACAGCACCACTAGAATGGGTGGATTTACAGTCACTTAGGGAAGTAAAGTGTCAATTAAATCCCCCGGTAATATAGTGCCTAATATTACCTAAAATATGCACACATTGAGTTCTGATTAGTGCCTAGCAGTGTGAGGTGGGGGAGGCTGTGATTTGGGTCGGGCTGGTCCTGCCTGCAAGGAGCACAGCCCTGGGGTGAGACAAACCCGCAGTACTCGGGGAGTCCGCTCTGTGCTGTGAAATTCCAAGCCAGGAGGTGGCAGCCTCAGCCAAGAGGAAGAAGTCCTTGGGGAACAGGGGGGTGAGCAGTGAGAAACAGGGTGTCTTTTGATCCCTGCTCTCCCACTTCCTAATGTCTGAAGAAGGGTTTAAACGGGGAAAGTCACACCACAAGATATATTTTAAAAAGTTAGGCAGGAAGAAAATGGAAATCTGCATCTATACAAGGGAATAAAGAACGTAAGTGGTTTTAAAAAAGTGGTGGGGGGAGTTAAGAGTCTTATTTCTTGCCAGGCACGGTGGCTCAAGCCTGTAATCCCAGCACTTTGGAGGCTGAGGCGGTTGGATCACCTGAGGTCAGGAGTTCGAGACCAGCCTGGCCAACATGGTGAAACACTGTCTCTGCCAAAAATACAAAAATTAGCCAGGTGTGGTGGTGTACGCTTGTAATCCCAGCTACTTGGGAGGCTGAGGCAGGAGGATCACTTGAACCCAGGAGGTGGAGGTTGCAGTGAGCTGAGATTGCACCATTGCACTCCAGCCTGGACAGCAGAGCAAGACTCTGTCTCAAAAAAAAAGTCTTATTTCTTGATCAAGAAAAATCAAGGCAAAATATAAAAGGTGAAGAGTAATCCTTTTTCTTCAAGGCAAATGTGTAGGGCAGGGAAGGAGAGAAGAGGAGGAGATGTGAATCATTTAGACTTGTGGCAGCTGAAGACGTGGGGACTGAAGGCCTCACAGCTATAGAACTTTCTTTTTTTATTTTGGACTCAGGAGAACATGTACAGGTTGTTACACGGGTATATTGTGTGATGCTGAGATTTAGAATACGGTGCTCCCATCACCCTTCAGAGTTCTGTGTACTCTTTCCATTTCAACATAAAAATAAAAAAGGACGGACTCTTCCCAGCACCTGGCAGATGCTGACCTCCTGGTCATTCTGCCCATTCATTCACCCAAATATTTGCTGGCATTTACTGAGTGCTGAGGACTGAAAGGCAATTGCACTTCCTGATGGCCCTGAAAGGTACAGTGGATGGGTGCCAAAGGACCTGTGTTGATTCCTTCCTTCCCTTTCATCATTCCTGGCCGCTTGAACCTGGGCCAGCCTTGTGACTCGCTTCGACGGATAGAATGCCACAAAAGTGATGCGTGCCAGTGTCTGGACCAGCCTGTCAGGGGCCTGGCAGTTTCTATGTTCTTTCAGCCAGTGTGACTAGCCTGAGCCCACCGTGCTGTGAGGAAGCCCAAGCAGCCACGTGGAGAAGCCTCCTCTGATTTTGATGAAGGCATCTAAGCTGAAGGCAGGCAGATATCGGTGAAAAAAATGGTCAGGTGTGGTGGCTCATGCCTGTAATCCCAGCACTTTGGGAGGCCGAGGCAGGCAGACTGCTTGGGCTCACAAGTTCAAGAGACCATCCTGGCCATCATGGCAAAACCCTGGCTCTACTAAAAATACAAAAAATTAGGCGGGCATGGTGGTGGGCACCTGTAGTCCCAGCTACTCGGGAAGGCTGAGGCAGGAGAATGGCATGGACCCAGGAGGCGGAGCTTGCAGTGAGCCGAGATTGTGCCACTGCACTCCAGCCTGGGCGACAGAGCAAGACTCAGTCTCAAAAAAAAAAAAAAAAAAAAAAAAAAAAAAAATATTAGCCAGGTGTTGTGGTGTGTGCCTGTGCCTGTAGTCCCAGCTACTCCAGAGGCTGAGGCATGAGAATTGCTTGAGGCGGAGGTTGCAGTGAGCCAAGATTGCATCACTGCACTCCAGCCTGGGTGACACAGTGAGACTCTGTCCCCTCCCCCACAAAAAAAGAAGTCAGTGAAAAATGGCACTTTGAGAATGTCTGATGACATGTGGATTGGGCACTATGCCCATGCCCCATCTCCCAAATGCTCACAGTGGCTCCCTCTTCCCCCTGGCTGTACAAGGGGCAGTTGGTGGCTGGTTTTCAGCCAGGACTGCTCCCCTCCCGCCCCACCTACACTTCTTATTACTTTTGTTTTTTAAAAAAATTTTGGCTGGGCGCCGTGGCTCACGCCTGTAATCCCAGTACTTTAGGAGGCCGAGGTGAGTGAATCACTTGAGATTAGGAGTTTGAGACCAGTCTGGCCAACATAGCAAAACCCTATCTCTACTAAGAAAATATAAATATTAGCAGGGTGTGGCGGCACATGCCTGTAGTTCCAGCTACTTGGGAGGCTGAGGTAGAATTGCTTGAACCTGGAAGGCAGAGGCTGCAGTGAGCTGAGATCTCGCCATTGCACTCCAGCCTGGGTGACAGAGCAAGACTGCTTCAAGAAAAAAATTTTTTTTATAGAGATGGGGTCTCACTATGTTGCCCAGGGTGTTCTTGAACTCCTGGGCTCGATCAATCCTCCTGCCTCGGCCTCCTGAAGTGCTGGGATCACAGGTGTGAGTCACTGCGCCCAGTGTCCCAGCTCCTGCTCTGATCCAGCTCTGGCATTAACCAAGCTTCATGGCTGCAGGCAGAACAATTTCTCCAGTCCTCAATTTCTCATCTATAAAATGAGGAGGTGGGGTTAGGCCCATGATTTTAGAAATAAATGTCAAAAACAGCAAAGAAAGTAAGAGAAGAAGAAGGGAAGAGACGATGTGTATACCACTGGGGAGCTGAGCCCAGACTTGCCACTGTGTGGATTAGATAATGCTGCTTCTCCTCACATGGAATTGTGGGAAATTCCCCAAAACTGTGACCGGAGCCAGCTTTAGGCAAGGCTTTTTCTCCTTCTGGAAAGAACACCTGAACTCAGTCACCTTGGACTCTGCCTTCCTACTCTTTCTCCTCCTTTATGTGGAACATTTCTCCTTGGTGATTCTCTTAATGCATTTTAAAAATATTGAAAATAGATGTTTTATTTTGTTTATACAAGGTACAATGTCAAAATACAAATAATATATAATGTATAGATATAATAGACAAGGAAGTATAAATATAAACGCATATATTCGTAAAATGGCACTGAGTTGAGTTTTCTTCTTCCTGAATCCTTCAATGGAGAGGATTCGCTGGGCTCAGCATCTCTCCCACCTTTCCCAGGTCCCTGTCCATGTGTGCAGAGCAGCTGGAGACAGGGTGGTTAGAAGCCCAAACGCTGGTGTCTTCCCTGTAGACGTCTCCCACGCCAGGAGAAGCCTTGTAATTGACAGAGAGCTTTGGGTATGTCACTTTTCTCTGTGAACTGAAAGTTAGGATGAGGGACGGAAGATTCGGGGCAGGGTTTTTATTTCATTACCACATGTATTCCAGGCAGCTCACACTGTAATGAAATAAAAATCCTGCTCAGAAGCCTTTGGTCTCTCCTGGGAAGCTGGGCCCTGGGTCCAAGGCACGACAGGCAGGCAGGTGGTGCCCATGGGAATGCGGAGAACCTGCTCCCTCGCGCAGGAGGCGCCGACCCGGCAGTCCGTGAGATCCTGCTGGGACTTCTGAGAGGCCTGGTGAGCTTGCTCCTGGAGCCCGCTTCCTTGCACCTCTTCTCAGTCGTCTTTAGCTAAAGCAGAGAGGCTCCTTCACTCCGGACTTAGCTGGGCTGGTTTCCCCGAGTTTCATAGGTGGTGAGAGCAGTTTTCCAAGTCTTCATCTCTGCTGCTGGTCCCCCAAGTCACCGGCAGAGCCTCCATGGCTTCCATTTCAACGCTGGCCAGCGGGGGAGTTTGCCTGCAAAGCAGGTGGTTCATAGGTTTTGAAAAGAGGAGGGGGTTGCCCTCAAATCAACAGACGCTTCCCACTGAGCATGTATGTCCAGCACTGCGGGGATGGCAGGAGCAGACAGAGGCCCTGCCACGGGAGTCAGACAGAGAGCACTTAGTCCTCAGAGATGGAGAGAACCTAGAATGCCTACCTCTACCGAGTGTATTAAATCCTATCTAGGGGCCAGGTGTGGTGGCGCATGCCTGTAATCCTAGCACTTTAGGAGGCTGTCGTGGGAGGATCGCTTGAGCCCAGAAGTTCAAGACCAACCAGGACAATATGATGAGAATAAATCCTCTCCAGGTATTTCCAACCTCCCCATCCACCAAAGACTCACCAAGTGCTGTTGGAGCAACTTACGCCACCCTGCCATCACCCCACGCTTTGCCAGTCCTCTGCCAAAAAGCCATTCAAATGGCAGGAACAAGAGAAGGAGAGAGTGACTGGGAGCCTAGCCAAACCAGAGTTGATCATCTTGAAAAAAGTGATTTAATATTCATGAAGCTTTTAAAAACAGTTCTTAGCACTTAGTATGTGTGAAATAAATAAAGAAATACACAAATCAATCAGCTCCCGAATGACAAGCACAGGCGAGGCAGGACACTGGTCATACGTGGCTGGCCTGTCTGGAGCTGCCTGGGTGCTGATGCCCTGGGCATCTGGCCGGCACCTTCTACCAGGGCTGGTGAAATGTCCCTCCGGAGGAGCAGCAGCTCTTTAGGCCATTTTAAGGTAAGCAGTGTGAGCTCCCTGGAGTGAGAGCTAAAATAAGGCAGGATGGGGGTCAATTCACTGACAATAATTTGCTAACAGCCAATTTGTCAAATGGCAAATCTAACTAATAACCCATTTGCAAAAAACAAGTTTATGGAAAGAATCAATTCACCAAATGACCAAGTAATTACACTCATCAAATTTACCAATTCTTCTTTTTTTTTTTTTTTTTTTCTGAGACAGGTTCTTGCTCTGTCTCCCAGGCTGGAGTGCAGTGGTGTGATGCTGGCTTGCTGCAGCCTCTGCAGACAACCACGCCCAGCTAACTTTTTGTATTTTTTGTAGAGATCAGGTTTCACCATGTTGGCCAGGCTGGTCACAAAAAAAGCGATGCATGCACTTCAGCCTCCCAAAGTGCTGGGATTACAGGTGTGAGCCACTATGCCCGACCATGCCAATTCTTCCTAAAGATATATTTATTTTACTTTTTGAGCTTTTTAAAAATTAGATTTTTTGTGTGTGGGGGGATGGGGTCTCACTATGTTGTCCAGGCTGGTCTCAAACTGCTAGGCTCAAGTAATCCTTCCACCTCAGCCTCCCAAAGTGCTGGGATTACAGGCATAAGCCACCATACCCAACTGAGATATCTTTCATATAGCCAGTAAATATTGCTATTTTCCTCTTATGAACATATTTATTGGCCGTATATACCAAATTTACAAATCCTTTTTAAGAATATATTTTAATGTATTATTCATAAAGAGATGGTATGTACATTTAAAAAATATATTCAGTGAATATATTTATTCATTATAACTGGTTAAGAATATAACTCCAAATTCAGCATTTTATATTGGAAATTCTGTAGTTATTAATAGTGATATTTTGAAAATTGTCTTAAAAGTCATTTTCTGTTTTGTCAACATTTTTCATTTTTTGAATTCTTTGGACAAATTTTTGAGTAACATATCAATGTTTGTTAATTTCTCAACTGTTTATAAGGTTTATGGCTTTTTTATTGGTCGGGATGGTATTCACAGCTTTTGAAGATTTATGTGAAGTTTTAGATACTGGTTTTCATTTTGACTTTATAGTAGCATTTCATGGAATGTGCATTTTGTCAAAATTAGGCTCAAAGGGTCACATAATTTTTTTTTTTTTTTGAGATGGAGTTTTGCTCTTGTTGCCCAGGCTGGAGTGCAATGGTGTGATCTTGGCTCACTGCAACCTCCGCCTCCCTGGTTCAAGCAATTCTCCTGTCTCAGCCTCCCTAGTAGCTGGCATTACAGGCATGCACCACCATGGCCTGCTTATTTTGTATTTTTAGTAGAGACAGGGTTTCTCCATGTTGGTCAGGCTGGTCTCGAACTCCTGACCTCACGCGATCTGCCTGCCTTGGCCTCCCGAAGTGCTGGGATTACAGGCATGAGCTACCGTGCCCAGCCAGGGTCACATAATTTTTATATTGATATCACATTTAGAAAAGAATGTTTTATAACTATTAATAGTAACTAAAAGTTTAGTTTGGACAAATCTGATATCCGTATCAGTATGGAATGCTGGAATACTGGTTACTAATTGATAGAAGTACAAAATGAAGGCTAGAATGCCATTTGAGGCTTTAATCAAAGAATAATAATACTGCCTAAAGATTAAAAAAATGAGAAAAATTAAAAAAGTTAGCAAGTGGCAGAAATATTTTTGCCAGAAATGCTGAGATGCAGAATTTCAATGATTAGAAATACAAAATTAAG
Organism: Homo sapiens; assembly: GCF_000001405.40. NCBI lineage: Eukaryota > Metazoa > Chordata > Mammalia > Primates > Hominidae > Homo > Homo sapiens. The sequence continues at coordinate 5,955,708 of NC_000010.11, forward strand.
GCTAACATGAATCAGTATATTTATAAGAAGGCATACCCCTATTCAATGAGGACTTTCAAGAATATATTCATGAGGGTATCACAAGAAGAATGGGTAGGACTGCACGCGTTGGCCACCTGGTGCACTTTCTCTGGCCGCCCCATTTCTACCATGAGCAGGGGTAGGGGGCACTTGGGCTTGGGCCTAGCTCACTGCTCCTCGGCTCTGGCACTCATTGGCTCCTAGAGAAGGGGTGTGTGAGAGCCGATGGCCAGGAAAGGCGTCCTTCTTGGGAGGGGGCATTCTGGAATCACTATGGTGGGGCTCTTTTCTTTTTCTTTTTTTTGAGACAGAGTCTTGCTCTGTTGCCCAGGTAGGAGTGCAGTGGCGCAATCTTGGCTCACTGCAACCTCCGCCTCCCGGGTTCAAGCGATTCTCCTGCCTCAGCCTCCCGAATAGCTGGGATTACAGGTGTGCACCACCAAGCTTAGCTAATTTTCATATTTTTAGTAGAGACGAGGTTCCACCACGTTGGCCAGGCTGGTCTCAAACTCCTGACCTCAAGTGATCTGCCCGCCTTGGCCTCCCAAAGTGCTGGAATTCCAGGCGTGAGCTACCGCGCCCGGCCAGGTGCAGCTCTTTTCTCATGGGGAAGTCTAACTCTTGCAGAGGGAGTATCCAGTGCAACTCACCTTGACTTGAGGTAGCATGCCAGGAGAGACACAGCGCTCAGCCCACACAGCAGGACAGTGGACGTGGAGATAGCCACTGAAAGGGAGGAGACCACGCTGAGATACCCAGAAGCACATTCATTGCTACGAACCACAAATTCTTTACCATGGATGTTCTTACAGAGGGATCCAAGTGCCTCCCAACCAGCCTCCTGCTAAGGACATTTCTTAAGGTCCATGCAATTCCCCCGATTCTATGTCTAGGCAAAAACACATTCTCTTTCCTGCTGAGGGTGCCAGCTCCCAGTCGTCCCACACCTCTGCTCCTCATCCTTGTCCTTCTCAGGCAGAGTGCCTGGGGTGACGGGGCAGGGACGGAGCAAGTCAGGAGGGAGCAGTAAGAGCCTCAAGGGCAAAGCCAAGAGTGCGATGAGGAGAGAGCATTCCTGCTGCTAAAGCCAGGGTTGAAAAAGCAGACAGGGACACACCCCTCCTCTGCTGTCCCCAGTACAACGCCCACTTTGCTTCAACTTCACAGATTTAGAAACAATAGCACACAGTGCCATTTTCCTTCCAATTTCATTTTTTTTTCACTTGCAATTTTTTTTTTTTTTTTTTTTGAGACAGGGTCTCCCTCTGTCACCTAGACTGGAGTGCAGAGGCACTATCTCGGCTCATTGCAACCTCTGCCTCCTGAACTCAAGTGATTCTCCTGCCTCAGCCTTCTGAGTAGCTGGGATTACAGGCACACACCACCACGCCTGGCTAATTTTTTGTATTTTCAGTAGAGACGGGGTTTCACCATGTTGGCCAGGCTAGTCTCAAACTCCTGACCTCAAGTGATCCACCTGCCTCAGCCTCCCAAAGTGCTGGGTTTACAGGCATGAGCCACTGCGTCCAGTCTACCTACAACTTTTTCTTTCTTTCTTTCTTTTTGAGATGAAGTGTCATTTTGTTGCCCAAACTGGAGTGCAGTGGCGTGATCTCAGCTCACTACAACCTCCAGCTCCAGTGTTCAAGCAATTCTCCTGCCTCAGCCTCCCGAGTAGCTGGGACTACAGGCAGGTGCCACCATGCCCGGCTAATTTTTGTATTTTTAGTAGAGACAGGGTTTCACTATGTTAGGCAGGCTGGTCTTGAACTCCTGACCTCGTGATCCGCCTGCCTTAGCCTCCCGAAGTGCTGGGATTACAGGCGTGAACCACCACGCCTGGCCAACTTTTTCTTTTCTTCTTCTTTTTTTTTTTTTTTCTGCGACGGAATCTCACTGTGTTGCCCAGGCTGGAGTGCAGCGGCTCGAGTTTGCTCACTGCAACCTCCCCCTCCCAGGTTCAAACGATTCTCCTACCTCAGCCTCCTGAGTAGCTGGGATTTCAGGCGCCTGCCACCACACCTGGCTAATTTTTGTATTTTTGGTAGAGATGGTGTTTTGCTATGTTGGCCAGGCTGGTCTCGAACTCCTGGCCTCAAGTGATCTGCCCACCTTGGCCTCCCAAAGTGTTGGAATTACAGGCATGAGCCACAGCGCCCGGCTGATTTTTTAATCTAATAAAAGTCATGAACTAGCAAAAGCAGATTATAGATTATAGCCCATCATCAAATAGTTGTTGGAAAATGTATATAGAAAAAATGACCCCTGAACTTTATATGTAGGATTTTATCCTACAGATGTTCTTGCACCTATGGATTTTCAATTAATGGCTGTTTGTAAGATAACAACAGAATGTAGCAATCACATGTCCAGATAGGGGGTTGGCTAAATTAATGGTAGGAATTCCATACAGTGGAATATTCTGTAGCTGTTAAAAACGATGAGATGGTTTTTGTGTCCTGATATGGGAGGATCTACAAGGTATACCAGCAAGTGGAAACAAACATGGTACAGAAAAGGAGAAAAGAAGCAACTGTCCAGCATTCCTTATCCTCTATATGTTTATTTATACAGTCTCTCTGGAAGGATGCCTGGAAATCTGGTAGCAAGTGTTGCTTCCTTCCTGCAAGGGGATTTTTGAGTTAGAAATGGGATTTGCTTTTCGTCTTTTTTTTGAGACAGGGTCCTGTCCTGTTGCCCAGGCCAGAGTGCAGTGGTGTGATCACAGCTCACTGCAACCTCTGCCTCCTGGGTTCCAGCAATTCTCCCACCTCAGCATCCCGAGTAGGTGGGACTACAGGCATGTGCCACCATGTCTGGCTAATTTTTTGTATTTTTAGTAAAGATGGGGTTTTGTCATGTTGTCCAGGCTGGTCTGGGACTCCTGGCCTCCAGTGATCAGCCCCCCTCGGCCTCCCAAACTGCTGGGATTATAGGTGTGAGCTACCTCGCCCAGCCTGATTGTTTTTTAAACGATTCTAATCAATTAACTGCTAAAATGTCCAAAGTCACTTGATGTTTTCCCAGATGACGTTTGATGCAGGTAAAAATGACACCACAAAAATATGAGTCATTCTCTAGCAGAAAAATTTATGAACAGAAGATTAAAATAATTTTTGTCCATATCAAATTACAGTTGGGTTTTTTGTTACTTTGGAAGCTTGTCAGCCTGGAGCATGACTTGCATTCTTCTCATTACCTGCGTTCTTCCTCCCTGCCTGCTTCCCTTCTTCCTCCTGTTCTCCCCTCCTCTCTCAGCTCTCCTCCCCTCCCTTCAGCTTTTTCTTTTAGTCTTGTAAACGCTTTCCCCTTTTCCTCCTTATCATCACTTGCACGTTCTCTTTTCTATTCTCCTAGCCTTAGCATTGCGTGTGACTTCTGTAAAGAGGAGCAGATTTTTGGTTTTATTTTGTTTTGTTAACTTTTTTTCTTTTTCTTTTTCTTTTTTTTTTTTTTTAATAGAGATGGGGTCTTGCTATGTTGACCAGGCTGGCCTCAAATTCTGGCCTCAAGCAATCCTCCCATTTCGGCCTCCCAAACTGCTGGGATTACAGGTGTGAGCCACCATGCCTGGCCAAGAGTAGCATTTTATACCGAAAATGTGGACAGCTTCTCTGTTAAGTGCACGGTGCCACGCCCTGGAGAGGAATTGGCAGCTTCTGGCAGAGATGCTGTAACGTCAGTGCTGGCATCAGCACCTGTAGTTTTGGATGCTCCATGCAAAAGAGGTGCACCCTGCTGTGAAGAGCTGACCTTGAGCCCTTATTTGGGGTGCCAGCTCTCTGGGTTCAACCCCAGTAGCCTGACAGCTAGAAGCTACCAATATTTAGAAAAATGGGCACATCAAACAGAGAATTCCATAAATCAGCTATTACTTAACTTATTATCTGATGGAGGCCTTCTGAGTGTGGAAGGGGCTGCTGTCAGGGCTGTGCTGGGGCAGCGGGCCTGGGCCAGGACCACCCAGCACCCTGGGACTGCGGTCACCCTGATCATAAACATACCGGACAAAGGGACACACTTACCAGTGGTGTCGCTGTGGCCCTGTGGATACACACCTGCGGAAAAGAGAGGACAGCATCACGGCTCGAGTCCTAGAGGTCCTAGTTCCTCATGAAGCAGGAGAAAATCTGCATGGCTTGGCTCCCATCTTAGCACCCTGGGAGACTCGTGGCTGGCGTAACCAGACTCATTTTAGCAAAGAACAAGCAGGGTAGCTCACTGAGGTGCTGGCCACACTTAAGAATCAGATAAGCCTTACAGAAGGTCCCCATTACCCTCAGCTCCTCCATTCCACAGATCCTGGCCCCGGACTGTAGGCAGCTTCACCACCTCCTACTGCAGGAGGGCACAGATGCCACTCCCAGCTGCACAGGCTCTGCCATGCGGGTGATAAGGCTGGCCCTGTCACATCTTGGGGGGGTGTGGGCTTGCTTTTGCAGCTGCCCCAGCCACAGAGAAAGCCACGGAGAAAGAGGTCAGGCCAGGACGCCGTGGCTGGTGGCCGGGGCCAGCAGGCTGCCCAGTGAATCCTGACTTTGGATTGATGGTATAAAGCTGCCTTGTGCCGGATCTCAGCCCCGATCTCAGAAGCAGCAATGGGGAACTGACCTCTCCTGGGGCAAAGCGAGTGCTAACCTGGCGGCTGGTGGGAGGCGGATGCTGTGAGTTCCCAGTTCTTGGCTGTTGTCTGAGAGGGGGTGCCGTGGGAGGACTCATGACTGCTTATCTCTGTGGTTCCTGTGGAAGGTGATTTTGAAGGCATCAGCTGGGAGCCCGGGACAATAGCTGCTGTTGTGGCCGCTGTGTTGTTTGAGCTGGGAGATGAAGCTGCGGGCTCTGTAGGAGAGTCCAAGGCAGGGACAACATCAGTGTGCAGACTCCCCTCCTCTCAGCTGCAGCACGGGGTGATGTGGGAGCTGCCATAGTGAGTCACCCTGACCAGCCCTCCCTCTCTCACAGCCAACTGCTCCTTGAGAGGGTGACATAGCCGTTCCTCTGGAAGGGCCATAGGACCTGTGAAAACACTAAAGAACATGGCTACTATCACGGCACGTATAAAGAAAAGATCAGCCAGACACAGTGGGTCATGCCTATAATCCCAACACTTTGGGAGGCTGAGGTGTGAGGATCACTTGAGCCCAGGAGTTTAAGACCAGCCTGGGCAACACAGCAAGACCCTGTTTCTTTTCCTTCTTTTTTTGAGATGGAATCTTGCTCTGTTGCCAAGGTTGGAGTGCAGTGGCGCGATCTCAGCTCACTGCAACCTCTGCCTTCCGGGTTCAGGCAATTCTCCCTGCCTCAGCCTCCCAAGTAGCTGGAATTACAGGTGTCCACCACCACGCCCAGCTAATTTTTGTATTTTTAATAGAGATGGGGTTTCACCACGTTGGCCAGGCCGGTCTCAAACTCCTGACCTTAGGTGATCCACCCACCTTGGCCTCCCAAAGTGCTGGGATTACGGGCGAGAGCCACTGTGCCCTGCCGCAAGACCCTGTTTCTACAAAAATAAGAATAACGATAAATTATCCAGGTGTGGTGGGCATGTGCCTATAGTTCCAGCTATCTGAGAGGCTGAGGCAAGAGAATCACCTTAGCCTAGGAGTTTGAGGCTGCAGTGACCTATAATTGAGCCATTGCACTCTAGCCTGGGGGACAGAGTGAGACCCCTGTCTCTTAAAAAAAAAGGTGGGGGGAAGAAAAGAAAAGGTGTCAAAGATCTGAGTCGTTCAGCTTGTTTACTAGAGAAGGCAGGCCCAACGCTGGAGGCTCAGCTGAGAGCAGGTGAAGCTGCGCTGGCCGAGGACGCTCGGAGCGGCTGCGTGTGAAACACGGGAAGCCTGGGCTCTGGCCTGAACTCTCCGGGCTGTGTGGGAGGAAAGCGTCCTGATGAGCTTGCTCTCAGGAACAGAGGCTGCCTTGTGTTCAGCGTCTTCCCTGTCTTCCTTGTCCTTCCCTGGAAGGTGGCTGCCCCTGCACTGTAAGGGTGTGGCGTAACTGTGCTGTTCCCTCTCCATGAAAAATGTGTCTTCCATTGTGACAGCCACGGAATCTAGGAAACGTGAGGCCAAGCGCTGTGGCTCTCTGGACGCACTGTTGTTGCCGCGTTCCCATGGTCTCCCAGCCACACAGGTCATGAGAAGGCCTCACGCCCCTTAATCCTGTGTCACCACCTTTCATATAACTTGCCCTACGCTCACTGCCAATGCTCCAGGGCTCCCTGCACAGGACGCACCAAGGCATCCTCAGCCAAGTGCCCACGGTCGTGCCAGCTCGGGTCAAAGGCTGCTGTCACATCGGGGCTTCTGACTGCACCATTGTGTCTCGACAATGGCCATCGGACCAGGTATTGGGGATGCGAAGGTGGGGCTGGGAGAGCCTACTTGATCATTCTCCTCCTTGGGTGAACCAGGTGTGACTCAGATCAAAGGGGTTGTAGAATTACTTCAAGTTTAAATGGAGCCAGCCCCTCAACCCCTTCCTCCCTGTGCAGGTGACTCACTAGGAGGGAACCTTGTTTAGCTGCTTCTTCCTCCCTTAAGATGCAGGCCTCAGCCTTGGCCACTTAAGAACCACCTGTGGGCTGGGTGCAGTGGCTCACACCTGTAATCCCAGCACTTTGGGAGACTAAGGCTTGCGGATCACCTGAGGTCAGGAGTTTGAGACCAGACTGACCAACATGGTGAAACCCTGTCTCTACTAAAAATACAGAAATTAGCCAGGCGTGGTGGTGCACGCCTGTGATCCCAGCTACTTGGGAGGCTGAGGCAGGAAAATCACTTGAACCTGGGAGGCAGAGGTTGCAGTGAGCCAAGATTTCACCTCTGCCCTCCAGACTGGGCAATAGAGCAAGACCCCATCTCAAAAAAAAAAAAAAAAAAGATCCACCTGGGGCTGGAGAGGCGTGAGTCCCAGATTGCACCCAGGCCAACTGGAGTGCCCAGGTGATGTCAGTGTGTACCCACGGCTGACAACTGACACTCCGCAAAGGATGGCTGAGTCCTGTAGTATGAATGACAACAGACAGGCCCATCCCCCCGGGGGCAAAGGAGTAGACAGGACCAGGGAAAGCCACAGGCTGGACGATGCAACACTAAAGCCAAGAGTGAACTGTAGCACAAAGGTATCATAGCATGCAGGGCGGAGGATCCCAAGAAAGCATCCAAGATTTCAAATTTTCTGAACACTGAGAAAGCGCTGAGGAAATTGGGCCTGACAAGCACCAAAGACTCTGTTGAAACACAGGACACTGGCAGCTTCAGGCAGCGCCTCTATAATAGAGCAGTCACTGGGATGTGCTGGTGTTTAGGTCTGGTGGGGGCAGCTCTCCACAGGTCTCTCACATTTTTGCACATCTTGCAGACAGAGGAGCTGATGGCCCTTTCTCTGGACCATCCTCTCAAGGGTGCTTCTACAGCAAGCGCCTTGGAAGACGGGGACATGGTCTCCCCTGGAGCAGAGAGCAGGTGTGATTACTGCCCATGACAAAACGCTTGGGTCTCGGAAGCCCAGGCTTCCTCTCCCACAGTGCAGCCCGCTGAGTGGACAGGCATCTGTTCAGGCCCAACTGTGCTGCCCCTGCTGGCTAGGGGACGAGGGAATTGATGTAAACATGCTGAAGCTCCCGCTGCCTGCTGGCCTCCCATCCTGGAGTGCCCTCTTTTCTGCCAGCACCCATGAAAATGTTGAGGGCTAACACACATGCAACCTCAAACCTCAGTCTGCTTTCAGTTCTTGACAAAGATAAGTGTCTACAACTAAATTTGATATGACATATTAGTGAGTTTTAAACCACTATTAATTCTGCACATATAACACCTGGATATCAAGCAACTTTGATTTGAAAAAGAAAATTAAGTTGGACGTTCTTATTCTTGATTGAATAAGACGTTTGCGCTATTGCCTAAGTCTGCAGTGGCACACCACAGAGGTCCGTGAGTCTGCAGGATTGGTGAGCGGGCCTCTGGGTGTTGGGAGGGAATGAATGTCCTCGAGAAGTTTCTGACCTTCCTACCTTTTCCAGAAGGGGAGAGGCTCTCTGGCTGTGGGGTCACCCCTGCCGTCGTTACTGTGGAGGGTGGCGCTGGCCTTTGGTGAACCAGGGCAGGGTCTCCTAGAGAGAGGATAACCACATGGCACTTATGATCCTGAGCCTGGAACCTGGGCTGGCTTCAGAACGGGATACAAATAAAATATATCAACACATGAACTTACAGTGGAGGCCTCTGGCTTCCTCAGACAGGTTAAAAGCATAAGAAACAATGTTTCCCCACCCGAATGCAAAGATAGACTGCAAACTATTTTTCTTGCATTTCCAAAAAGACTGCACAAGTTAAATATCAAATTTATTTTGGCTGAGATTATATTAATGATATCAATTCAATTTTATAATGCTGGTTATTCTTGGGAGAATAAATGATCACTCAATAGATTCTATTTTGTTTGTTTGAGACAGGGTCTTGCTCCGTTGCCCAGGTTGGAGTGCAGTAGTGTGATCACAACTCACTGCAGCCTTGACCTCCCGGGCTCAAGAGATCCTCCTGCCTCAGTCTCCTGAGTAGCTGGGACTACATGTACGTGCCTCAATGCCCAGGTAATTTTTATCTTTTAATTTTTTTGGTAGAGACAGGGTCTTGCTATGTTGCTGAGGCTGGTCTCGAACTCCTGGTCTCAAGAAATCCCTCCCATCTCGGCCTCCCAAAGTGCTGGGATTACAGGTGTAAGCCACCATACCTGGCTTACATTTCACTTGTTGAGCAGGAAAAAAGTCATTCAAAGCACAAGAGTTTGGGAAGCATAACAGAGGGAGTTGTGAGTGATCAGAACGTGGAAGGATCCTTTGGGCTAGGTGAAACCTAAAGAGGCCTCCAGTCTTTGGACTCTAAAATCCTGATTCCGGGTTCTCTTCTTTCCTCTCCCATCCTGACCCTGGAGCCCATAGCTCTTCTCCATCCCGGATTCATTTGCCCAAAGGACATGGAGTGTCGAGGAGACCTGACTTGCCCTGCAGTGAGAAAGCCCTCATTTTACCTCGGGCAGACAGGTTCCAGGGAGTCCCAGGACTGGCAGAGTAAGACCCACCGTGGTTCCCACAGATCCTGCTCACCCCGCCACGCTCAGCTTTCCCATTCACTCACTGATGCCACGGGGTGCTGTGTCCCCAGCGAGTGATTTCTTGGAACAAGTCGGAGGCTTCCTCCCTGCCTTCCCTCTGCTGCCTGTGTGACTCGCTCTGTTCTGGGGGAGGAGGCTGAGCTACCACTACCAAGCCAGTGGCAATGTCCAGCGCCTCAAGGAGCTCCCCTCTGTCCCCTGCTGCAGAGGGCGTGAGCTATGGGGCCGCTCCATGCAGGGGCGCGCTCATCCCTGCCCCAGAGATGAACTGGGGAAGGAGAGAAGCCTGCAGAGGTGGGCCTGAGTGTTCCAGAAACAGCTCCAAGTGGTTCCCACCCGAGATGGTTTGGCTGCTTCTGGGACGTTTATCCAGGTGCAGACAGTTAAAAAAAAAAGTTGATTCTTGCCACCTTCCCTCACCCCTGCTGGACACCATGCACAGGTGACTGAGCAAAGGGCAGCCCTGCTCCAGGGCCTGTGCCCATCCCCGGGGCTGGGTACTGAGAGAGGAGCAGTGATGGCTTCCAACATCCACCTTCTCATGGGAAATCCAAACATTTCTCACACTAGCGTGCTCATGAGTGCCCGCCCAGCTCTGCAGCCAAATTCTCCTGCCAGCATCGTCTCAAATCAAAGCACTACATGTAATAAGAGTTAATATTTACCAGGGTTCACGCCACCCTCCCACAGCCCGCAGTGTGGATATCAAGTCCGTTTTCCAGATGACCAGCCAGAGTGCCAGAATATCACAAGAGCTGCCCAAGGCCTCCTGGGTGGTAGGCGGCAAAGCCAGGATTTAAACCCAGAATCCTGTGACCCCAGCACCTGTGTGTTTCCAACGCCAGGAGCTGTTGCTGAGGATCACACTGGTGTCTTTCTTTTTTTCTTTCTTTTTTGAGATGGAGTCTTGCTGTGTCACCCAGGCTGGAGTGCAGTGGTGTGATCGCGGCTCACTGTGACCTCTACCTCCCGGGTTCAAGCAATTCTCCTGCCTCAACCTCCCAAGTAGCTGGGATTACAGGCGCCTGCCACCACGCCCGGCTACTTTTTGTATTTTTAGTAGAAACGGGGTTTCACCATGTTGGCCGGGCTGATCTGGAACTCCTGACTTCAAGTGATCCTCCCGCCTCGGCCTCCCAAAGTGCTGGGATTACAGGTGTGAGCCACCGTGCCCGGCCCCCACTGGTGTGTTTAGCCTCAGACCTCAGCACAGATCCCTTGACCCCTGAGATGGGGTCTTCTCTCTGTGCAGCCTTGGCAGGGTGGGGGAGGGAGGAAGGTGGGGTGGCAAGGGCTACTCACTAATGCATTTGAGACTGGGGGTTGTCCAGTGGGCGACATTCGTGGCCTTGTTCAACACGCACTCCGTCAGGCTGGACGTGCCGGCTTTACGCTTGAAACCAGAGTTACAAATGTACCGCTCCCTGGAGTACAAGCTGTAGCTCTTGACCCAGATGTCTGCGTGTTCCACGGACATGGGGGGAGGGCACGTGATGCCTGCGAAAGTGCAGAGGACAGGGGACGGTGAAGAGGTTTCCACTTGTAAGAGGCGTTCTCCAGGCACACGCAGCGGTAGTCAGTGTCCAGCTTATCCTAGGGGTGCCTCAGGACAAGCCCCAGGTGCCAGGCACGTGGAGGATGTACAGGAAGAGCATCCTCACCCAGAAGCCTTCCTGGAGCCTCGCCTGAAGTGCCAGTCAGCCAGCAAAACTACAGATGAGGGCGTGGGGAGAGGGTCATCGATGAAACACCCTCTCCCTTCATTTCCCACCCCTCTCCAAGCCCTCAGTCTCTCTTAAAGTCTTCACCCCTCTCCACCGTGGACCCAGCCTCCAATTCTCACTGAACGACAGCAAGTGCCTCCAGATAGGCCCCCTGCAGGCTCTCCCACAGGTCTCTGCGGCCAGCATCACCTTTAGAAATGCATCTTTGAGCCTGGCCAACATGGTGACACCCCATCTTTATTAAAAATACAAAAAATTAGCCGGGCGTGGTGGCAGGCGCCTGTAATCCCAGCTACTGGGGAGGCTGAGGCAGGAGAATTGCTTGAACCTGGGAGGCAGAGGTTGCAGTGAGCCACGATCACACCACTGCACTCTAGCCTGGGAGTTGGCCAGGCTGGTCTTGAACTCCTAACCTCAAATGATCTGCCCGCCTCGGCCTCCCAAAGTGCTGGGATTACAGGTGTGAGCCACCATGCCAGGCCCTGAATTTCTATTCTAATAGTTTTTAACTGGATCAAATTCTCCCACCTCCATCTCAAAAATCCACTCCCTTGTGTGTGCACATGTGTGTGTTAGCTTGGCAGTACTTGCAAGATCGGGCCTTGCCTTGTCTTGCCTTGCCTTACCTTGCCTTACCTTGCCTTGCCTTTCTTTTTTGAGACGGAGTTTCACTCTGTCACCAGGCTGGAGTGCAGTGGCACGATCTTGGCTCACTGCAACCTCCACCTCCTGGGTTCAAGCGATTCTCCTGCCTCAGCCTCCTGAATAGCTGTGACTACAGGTGCACACCACCACACCCAGCTAATTTTTGTATTTTTAGTAGAGACAGGGTTTCACCATTTTGGCCAGGATGGCCTTGATCTCTTGACCTTGTGATCATCCCGCTTTGGCCTCCCAAAGTGTTGGGATTACAGGTGTGAGCCACCGCACCCGGCCAAGATCAGATCATTCCTTTGCAACTGCAAAGACACCTTATTCCCCATGAAGCATCATTTTCCCAAAGGCTGCTGTTGCTTTCAGCTCTGGTTGGTCATTCATACATTTTGGAATGCTTTCCATTCCCAGGATATAGTGCATTGGAGAGAGAGTGGATGAACCAATGGACACAGCTCAGCTCTGTTGGAAGTGACAGGTGTTGTTTAGTTACAGTTGTTGGTACATGCCCCTGGAAAAGTGCAAGTGTGGCCGGAAGTAAATTCGATAAAGAATAGGCTGGGTGCGGTAGCTCACGCCTGTAATCCGAGGACTTTGGGAGGCTGAGGCAGGCGAATCACCTGAGGTCAGGAGTTCAGGACCAGCCTGGCTAACATGGTGAAAGCCCGTCTCTACTAAAATACAAAAAATTAGCTGGATGTGGTGGTGGGCGCCTGTAATCCCAGCTACTCAGGAGGCTGAGGCAGGAGAATCACAGGAACCTGAGAGGCGGAGGTTGCAGTGAGCCAAGATTGTGCCACTGCACTCGAGCCTGGGTGACAGAGCAAGAATCTGTCTCAAACAAACAGAAAACCCCCCAAAAACCAACAAACCAACCAAACAAAAAACATTAGCAACAAATGCCAAAGTGTTAAGAACCTTAGCACGGAGAGAATTCTTATAAAAATCAACACAAGACAAATACCCTAATGGCCTAACTGGGCAAAGGACACAGTGGGTGAGTCACAAGAGAGCCATCACCTAAGTCCACACAAAAACATCCCAAACCTCACTAACACATCCCTGTTAGAATTCCATGACCTCTGCTCTTGCTTCTGAAGGATCCTGTACCAGGCAGGCTGGGGGCAGGGTGGGAGGGGAGAAATCTCAAATTCAAGATTGTTCTTTCCATTCAACTCCCATCCCAAAGCCTTCTCCTCTGTCACAGGGGCAGCGCTCTGCTCACTTCCTGTCTCAGGCATCTATTGTCCAGTGGCCGCCACTACTCCCCATTCCAATGAGGACACATCTTCTGCTAAGCTGATGGCGTGAGAGATGGAGTCGATCTCACAAGTTGTTGAGGTGGATTTGGATGCTGCTGTTGCTATGGTTACCTGCAGAGCCCCACTGGCTTTGAGGCCTCTGGTGCTATCTGGTGCTGGAGTGTCAGAGGCTTTTTCTCCATGTTCTGCTCCACACTGATCTTCTGTCCTTCTCTACCTGCCTAAACCACAGAGTGTTATTTCTCCACACTTGCCCACCCCATCCTGCCCTCCATGATAGATGGCTGTGCTACCTGCTTGCTGCCTGCTTGTCCGATGGTGGTGGCACTGGGGGCAGTTTTCCATTGTCCTGAGTCTCACGCAGGCCTCGTGTGTCTGGACCTCATGGTTGAAGCTTTCAGATATTCTGCTCCTTCCCGCCAGGACAGCCAGCCTGTCTCTTGCATCTGTAACAGGTTTTGTACAGGAAGTGTTCCCTGCCCATTTCCAGCAGCCGTGGACCTCCAGGGCTGTTTGTGTAGGATCCTGAGCAAGGACTAAGTGTATTGTGTGTGTTTCTGGCTGACTCACCAATCGATTCCATCGATCTATGTGTCTGTTTGTTTTGACACCAATACCGTGCTGCCTTGATTATTGTTGCTTTGTCATAGGTCTTAAAGTCAGGTAGTATAAGTCCTCCTACTGTGCTAATCATTTTCAAAGCTGAGTTTGCTTTTCTAGATCCTTTACTGTTTTTTTGTTTTTAAATTAAATTAAATTAATTTTTTAAATTAAATTTTTAAATTTAATTAAAATTTTATAATTAAAATTTTTAAATTAAATTTTTTAATTTAATTAAATTTTTAAAATTAAAATTTTTAAATTAAATTTTTTAAATTAAATTAAATTAAATTAAATTAAATTTTTCCAAGATAGAGTCTCACTCTGTCTCCCAGCGGGGAGTGCAGTGGCATGATCATAGCTCACTGCAGCCTCAGCTGCCTAAGCTCAAGTGATCTTTCCACCTCAGCCTCCTGAGTACCTGAGACCACAGATGTGCACCACCATGCCCAGCTAGTTATTATTTTTTTAATTTGTAGAGATGAGGTCTTGCTATGTTGCTCAGGCTGGTCTCAAACTCCTGGGTTCAAGGGATCCTCCCAAAGTGCTGGGATTACAGGCGTGAGCCACCCCGCCTGGCCTACTGAATTTAACAAACAGTGTATCAATGTCTACCAACAAAAGCCTGCTAAAATTTTGATTGGAATTCATTAAATTTAAAGATCAGTTTGGGGAAGAATTGATATCTTAATAATATTGAGTCTTCTTAAAAACCCATCAACACGGTATCTCTCTTGATTTATTTAAGAATTCTGCAATTTCTCCAGAAATGTTTTATAATTTTCAGCGTGCCAGCCTTGTACATCTTTTGTCAGACATATCCCTAAGTATTTCATATTTTTTATGTCACTGCAAATGGTATGATATTTATTTCGATTTCTTATTGTTTGTTGCTAGTATTTTGCATATTGATTTTTTGGTGTCTTGACTCTGTATTCTGCACCCTTGTAAACTCACTTATTCTAATAGCAGCTTTGTAGATTCCATATGATTTCCTATGGAGATGATCACATCATAGATTCTCTGAGTATGTTTTATGATTCCATTTTATCTCCTTTGTTGGTTATTAACTATAACTCGTTGTACTAGTTTAGTGGTTGTTTTAGGGTGTCCACTATATATCTTTACCTTATCACAGTTTTCCTTCCGGTGATGTTATACCACCACATACATATCCTGTAAAGATCTGAAACAGCAGACTTCCAGTCTCTCCCCCAAGCCCTTGTGCTATTGTTCTATGTTTTGCTTTGACATATGTTATACCCCATGACACATTGTTATTATTTTGCTTTAAACAGTTGATTATTGTTTATCAGCTCAGGATTTTAAAAGGCATTTGCACTATATTATTTATCATTTCTGGGTGTTTTTGTAGCAGGAGGGTTTTTTGGTATCTACTCTGTCATTTTGCTGAGAAAGGAAGTCTATCAGTGGTTCTTCCATTCTGAACGGTCCTCAAACCAAGATAAATCTGTGAATAGTTAATGTTTGAATGTACAAGGATATCAATGTACTACAGCCAATCCAACCAGGCAAATGGTGGCCAGTTACTTACTTTATAAAGTTGGACTGTCTCATAACTATATTGGTGATATTACTAACACTGTTTCATTTTATTATTTTATTTTTAAAATGATTTTATTTTATTTCATTATTATTTTATTTTATTTTATTTTATTTTATTTTATTTTATTTTGAGACAGGGTCTAGCTCTGTCACCCAGGCTAGAGCACAATGGCATGATTATGCCCCGCTGCAGCCTCAAACTCCTGGCCTTAAGCAATCCTCCTGCCTCAGCCTCCCGAGTAGCTGGGACTAGAGGCACATGCCACCATACCTGGCTAATTTTTTTTTTCCTAGAGATGGGGTCTCACCATGTTGCCCAGCCTGGTCTCAAACTCCTGAACTCAAGCCGTCCTCCAGAGATAATACATTTAATTGAAGCAATAACTTCATTTCCACATGCCTTAATCACATCTTTAGATACTTGAATTATACTTTCTATATATTCTCTCATAACATTGTTCCCTAGTTATTCAATGTAAACAAGTCTCACCTTGTTTACAATATTATAAGCTCCTTGCAGATGGTATGTATATTTCACAGTTCTGTGGTACTCTCACTTTCCTACGGCTGGTATACGATAGATATTTTCTGAATACATATAATGGAATTATGAAGTAATGGAAATTGGAGTAAACTTATGGCTCTAGGACTTTCAAAACTCTGAAGTAGCCAAAAAACATATACAACAAGTCCTAACGATCATTTAAATGAAGTCACCAAAATAGTGTATGAGGCCACACCTCTTTCTGTTTCCCAGAACCTGTGAATCACACTTCCTTATCTATCAGGTTGGTTTACAGAGTCTAATAAGAGCTGGCAGCCTCGGCCTGGTTCCATATCCAGAGTTCAGAGGTTGTCGGGTTAGCGTGGCTCCCAATCCTGTGAGCAGAGTCAGAATGGACTCCAACATTCCCCTCGCTTACAGCACCTTTCAAATGCCTGCACGAGCTAAGGGTGGTAGGATTCAGAGATGTGTCAGATATGGTTCCTGCCCTCAGGATGCTCACTGTGGAGCTGGTGTACGGAAAAGGCAAAGGCCTCTGGCCTCACAGTCACCCATCACCTTCCTTCCTTATTTTCCCCGCTGAAATGTCAGCCAAGTCAACACACTTCCTTTTGGAGTTCCCAAAAAGTACAGACTGTCTCCAGCTCACTGCCTGAAACTTGGCAATTCTTTTCTTTCTCTCTCAGACTCATTAACTGAGCTTCCTGACCCACCTCTTGTGTGCCAGGTGAATTTCTCCATAACTCGAATCCTTAAATAATGATTATTGGAGTCTTGCAAGAGTTGAGGGCTACAGGTTGAAGAGCAAATGAAAGGAAAGTAATGAAATACATTCTATAGTTTTAGGACTCGAGAAGACATCTGGCCTCTTCTGTCTCCTGCATTGACACCGCCTGTGTTCAGGATTTCATCACCACCCACCAGAACGATTTCAAAAACCTCAATGCAGCTCCTATTCTCTGGAGTCTCCTGACTACAGTTCATTCTTCACACTCTGAACAAGAGCAACCTTTCCACCATGCAGCTCCAGTAATGCTCCCCTGCACAGAAACCCTCAGGGACTCCCCACTGCACAGAAGGGAATCATGCCTTTCCAAGAAGAAGCATTCAAATCACATCAACTATGTCCAATGAGCAACACTGATATGACTCCCACGATATATACTGAGGAGTTTCATATATATTTATTCATTTAGATACATATTATTATTACTGTTATTATTTTTATTGTTATTTTTGAGACAGAGTCTCGCTTTGTCGCCCAGGCTGGAATGCAGTGGACAAGTGTTTGTGAGTTGGACAAGCTTTCGTAAAGTCATGAAAACATTGCCAGACAAGATCAGCTATAATTAAAGATGAATTAGAAAAAACTCCAAAATTCTGGATCTTAATTGTGCTATTTCTTTTGTAATTTTATTTATTTACTTTTCTTATTACAAAACAATTCAAATTATGGCAGAAAAATAAGAAAGGGCAGACAACTGCATACATGCCCACATATGACCAACACATGACATCTTCCCCATTCAATGACAACTACTTCTTGATCTTCTTCTAGTAAAAAAATGAATCATATGATGTCTACTACTTGAAAACAACTCCATTTTATTTACTCAGTCCTCCGCTGTTTAAAATTTATGTTGATTTTGACAAATCTCATGTTTTATACACTCACGTTTTCACCACTTTTTTGCTATCAGTAGAGGCAAAGAAGCAGTAACAACTAGATAAAATGGATAGGAAATAAAAAATAAAAGGTTTGGGAAAAGACCCCTAAAGTTCTGAAAAATGGCTTAAAAATACTTAAAGACACATGAAAAGTTGTGAAAACAACCCCAAGTGCACTTACACCTTACATAAAAAAAGCGAACTGAAATTGGTGGCTAGGGATATTTGTCTTCAAACAAAGCAGTCTTCTCAGTTGCTTCTGGCCATCGCCCGCAATCTTTCAGACTGAAATGCTCTCTAAGAAGTCAGTGACCTTCTACCCAACATAATGGACGCCCCTGCACATCAGGCCTTTTAAATAAGAACAGACTGGCAACAACTTGTTGTGCATAGTAGCACAAGAAGGAGACTTTGCACCTTAGTGATATTGATTTGTCCAACCCATGAACATGGTATATCTCTCCATTGATTTTGTTCCTTAATTTCTCTAAGCAATGCTTTGTAGTTTTCCATATATGAAAGATGTCTTTCACATCTTTTGTTAGATTTATCCGTAAGTATCTAATGCTTTTTAATGTTATTTCAAATGACTTTTTAAAGTTTTTTAATTTCTAATTGTTCATTGTGAATGTATAGAAATAGAACTGATTTTTGTGTAGTGGTGTTTTGTATACTGCAACCAACTTAGACACATATGGCTGACTGATGTTCAAAAGGTATAAGAGAAGGTCAGTGAAGATAATCTTTTCAATAAAGGGTGCTGGAATAATTGGATATGCATATATAGAAACAAACAAAATCCCAAAACAACCTTTAATTCATGCCTCACATTATAAACAAAAATTAATTCAAAATGGATCACAGCCATAAATGTAAACCCTAAAGCTATAAAACTTCTAGAGGAACACATAGAAGTAAACCTTTGTAACCTTAGGCTAGGCAAATATTTCTTAGATATGACACCAAAAGCCCAAAACACAACATAACAAATTAATAAATTAGACTTCATAAAAATTAAAAACTTCTGCTTTTCAAAAGACACTGCTAAGAGAAAGGATAAGCCACAGAATCTGAGAAAATATTTGCAAATCATATACCTGATTAGGGCCTCGTATCCAGAATATATAAAGAACTCTCAAAATTCAGTAATGATACAATTCAATTTTTTATACATAAGACAGAGTCAGAAAAAAAAAAAAAGACAGTCTCGCTCTGTGTCCCAGGCTGGAGTGCAGTGGCGCGATCTCTGCTCACCGCAACCTCTGCCTCCAGGGTTCAAGCGATTCTCCTGCCTCAGCCTCCTGAGTAGCTGACATTACAGGCATGGGCTACCACAGCTGGCTAATTTTTGTATTTTTAGTAGAGAAGGGGTTTTACCATGTTGACCTGGCTGGTCTCGAACTCCTGGCCTCAAGTGATCTGCCCGCGTTGGCCTCCCAAAGTGCTGGGATTACAGGTGTGAGCCACCACACCCAGCTGATACAATTCAATTTTTAAGAGAGCAAAAAAAATATAAACAGATACTACCAGAGAAGATATATACATGGCAAATAAGCACATAACATCACCAGCTGTAGAAAAATGCAAATTAAAACTACAAGGGGAGACCCCCTACATACCTAGTAGAATGGGTAAAATTAAAAAGATTCATCATACCAAGAGCTGACAAGGGTGTGAAGGAACTGGAACTTCCCTACACTGCTGTGGGAATGTAAAATCGTATAACAACTTTGGGAAATGGTTTAGCAGTTTCTTTAAAAATTAAACTTCTGAGGCCAGGTGCAATGGCTCACACCTGTAATCCCAGCACTTTGGGAGGCCAAAGCAGGCAGATCCCCTGAGGTCAGGAGTTCGAGACCAGCCTGGCCAACATGGTGAAACCCCATCTCTACTAAAAATACAAAAATTAGCCGGGCGTAGTGGTGCAAGCCTGTAGTCCCAGCTACTCAGGAGGCTGAGGCAGGAGAATCGCTTGAACCCAGGAGGCAGAGGTTTCAGTGAGCAGAGATGGAGCCACTGCACTTCAGTCTGGGCAACAGAGTGAGATTCTGTCTCAAAATAAGTAAATTAAAAATAAATAAAAATTAAAAATAAATAAATAAAAATTAAAAATTAAACACCTGAGAGGTCAAGGCTGCAGTGAGCTATAATCATGCTACTGCACTCCAGCTTGGGAAACAATGGTGTGACATTGTTTCAAAAAAAAAAAAATTAAACATACACCTGCCATATAACACAGCCACTCTACTCCCAACCATTCTCTACCCATGAGAAATGAAAACATGTGTCCATACAGAAACCTGTATGTCAGTGTTCATAGCAGCTTTCTTTGTAATAGTCCCAAACTGGAAACAACCCAAATGTCCCTTAACAAGTGAATGGCTAAACAAATGATGGGCTAGCCATGGGTAGAATACTACTACTCAATGGTAGAAACTAATGAACTACTTATACAAATTACAACATGGATAAATTCTCAGGATAATTACTGTCTGTGAAAAAAGCCAAACAAGAAAGAGTTCCTACCGTGTAATTCTATTTATAAAAAATTTTAGAAAGTGCATCAAATTGCCTGGGAGATGGGCGAGGTGGGAGATGAGGACTGTGCAGGGCATGAGGAAGTCTTTGGGAGTGATAGTTGTGTTCACTCTTGGTGGTGGCAGTGGTTTCATGAGTATGTATGCATTTACCTCCAAACTTATCAAAGTGTGCAACTTCAATATATGCAGTTTATTGTCGGTCAATTATACCTCAATAAGGCTGTTAAAGGGAAAAAAAACAACGGCTGGGCAAGCTGGCTCACGCCTGTAATCCCAGCACTTTGGAAGGCCGAGGCGGGCAGATCACAAGGTCAGGAGTGATCACCATGTTGGATCAGCCTGACCAACATGATGAAACCCCGTCTCTATTAAAAACACAAAAGTTACTGGGCGTGGTGGCGATCGCCTGTAATCCCAGCTACTCAGGAGGCTGAGGCAGCAGAATCGCTTGAACCCAGGAGGCGGAGGTTGCAGTGAGCTGAGATCGCGCTACTGCACCCCAGCCGGGGTGACAGAGTGAGACTCCGTCTCAAAAAAGAAAACAAGAAAGAAAGAAAAAGAAAAAGAAAAAACATTGAGAGCTTTGGGAAGGGAAGGTAGCAACATCTTTCTAAGGTCAAAGGGCAAGGCTGTGCAGCTGATGAGATCAGAGATCTCACAGTGGTGCTCCCCTATCCACTCAGTCTTCAAGGAAGACACCTCCTCTCTGCTGGGCTTTGACTAAGGCTGCATTTCACTTTCATATTGTGTAATCCAGCTGCCCCAGTTGCCAGCTATGGGGTCCTGTGACACTGCTAGCCAACTGGGAGGAACCAACCGGTCACCAACTAACTCTGCTTCTCAGATGTGGGGGGAAATCCAAGCATCAGAGTCTCATGAAAACGAAACTTCAAGAAGCCTCGCAGAGCTGGGGTGGGGGTGGCAGAGGGTGGGGGGGCGTTCAGGCCACACCAGGCAGCAGCAACTGTGCGTGGAATGGCTTTGGCCAGGGCCTGGGCAGACTGGCCCGACTGGATGTAAATTATTCAGGGTCTCGCTTAAAAACACACACAGATCATGGCGTTACTAATTCCTATAGAGAGTCCATGGATGGCCTTCAGTGGGGCTTTGACCCCAAAATCATATGCACATTTTGTAACTATGTTCATTCATGCATTTTTCTGGGGGCCGGGGGTTCATAGCTTTCATCAGACCCTCCAAGAGCTCCCTGACTATAAAAAGATAAAGAAGCGCTGACAAGGATAGAGCTAGACCCTGCTACTGTTTTCCTCCTTCCTCTGGCTGCCGGGACAAAACCCCTAGGAATCGCTCATTCCGTCCTCCCTGCCGAGATCAGAGCTCCGCGACCCGCTTTCTTCTCGAATACACCAAGCGATCACAGATCTCTTCCCCCTTTTTCTGCGAGTGTAGACTCCAGGCTGGCCCCCACTCCCCACCCCCATCCGGTCCCGACCGCCTCTGCTGGTTTCCTGATCGCTTAAGAATTGGAAGTTGTTTCCAGGTCCCCAGGTGTGCAACTTGCCCGACGCGTTTCCCCCTGGGACACAGCTCCTCCCCACCCTCCCAGCTCCCACTGACATAATTTACTTTTGCCTGGGAGTCGGGAGGAGTAGTTTCTCCCGGACCCCTCCGAGGACCGCGTGCTATGCAACACCCGCCCTGCAGTCCAGGCGCCTGGGAGAAGCGCACTCGCCCGTGTCTCCAAACTGCTGGACGCCGCCGGCTCCGCGCTCCCGTGGCCAAAACGGGCTTCTCAGAACTGCTCCTGACCTCGGCCTCGGAGACCCCAGCCAGGCCGCCCGCTCCCTTACGTGGGTGACCCGGGCGCAGCGGCGGCGCTCTCCCTGCGACCCCGGCTCCCGGCACGTGTCCCTCCTGCCCGGCGCCGCGTCCCCTCCCCGGCCTGGGCCTGCGCGCACCGCGCTCCCGAGGGCACCGACGCCCCCGCACGGCCCGGGGAGATGGGGCGCCCGGTTCCCTCCAGCTCCACGTCCCGGCCCCCTTCCAAGTCCCGCCCGGGCGCCCCTGCTCCCAGCTCCCTACCCCGCGTCGCCGGCGGCCGGAGCAGCAGCAGCAGTAGCAGCGCCGGGAGACCGAGGGTCCGGCAGCCGCGCGCCCGCCGCGGGGCCATGGCGGCAGCTCCACAGGACACCGCTGGACTCCCCGGGCGAGCGCTGCCCAGGCCGGGGGGAGGTGGCGAGCGCTGCTCTGGGACCTGCCGCCCCGCCAGTCGCATTCGCTTTCGCTTTTGCTTTGGCCCCCGAGGGCTCGGAGAGGTGCAAAGCGGTGACAGATCCGTGACTCAGCGTCCCCACCCCTGCTGGGGAAGGAGCCCCGCCGGCCGCCGCGGCACCGCACAGCCACCCCTGTCCCCGGGACGCATGGGCCGTGCCCGGTGGGGACCCAGGACCTTACCCACGCAAGCCCGGGAGCCTCCCGGTCCTCCGCGCTCGTCGTGCTCTGGGACCTCCAGTGTGCACTCGGTCCGGTGTCCCCACTGCGAAGAGAGTGGGCAAAGTCATCGGAGAGCAGACTCTCTCCAGCCCTCTCTGCGGCTCGGATCCACTTGACCTCGCCCGGCGCTGGTCGCCTCCAGCTGCTCCGCCTTCGGCTTTCCTGGTCTCCCTCCGCGGCCCTGCGCTCGGTTGTGAGCGGCCGGCCTGGGTGAGTGCCCGCGGAGGTGTCGCCGCGGTGCGGAGGCGCGGGCACCTGCCTGGTGCGCTCTGGCCCGGGCGGAGCGCAGCCCCCGCCACCTGCTGGCTCCCGCGGCCCCCGGCGCCCGCTGGGGCCCCAGCTCCGCCACTTCGCCGAATTCCTGCTGCAGCTTTGCTCCCCTAGAAAATGCCTCATCTTAGAAGGAGAGGGGGCGGAGGGGGGAGAAGGGGGAGAGGAGCCACAGTGCTTCACCTCTGAGCCTCGCTTCCTTAGGTTCTTCCAGGCTGCCATCCTCCTCTTTGGCTGGTGGGTTTTTTTCTTTCTTGGGGTCTCAAGTGAAGCCTGAGAACCGGGTCTGTAAGCTCCCAAGTGCAGATTCTCAGGTCTAGCGGTGACATTGGACAGGACGAGACATCTCCAAGCCTCGGTCATTGCCTCTTAAAATCTCACAACGTGTTTATGAGGCTTTTGTGACATACTTGCAAATTCTCTTTGAAAACGAAATAATCTGTACAATAATCCCCCAAGACACAGGTTTACCTTTATAACAAACCTGCACTTATAACCCTGAACTTAAAAGTTAAATAAAAGAATTTAGGGCCGAGCGCGGTGGCCACTCCTGAAATCCAAGCACTTTCGGAGGCCAAGGCAGGTGGATCGCCTGAAGTCAGGAATTCGAGACTAGCCTGGCCAACATGGTGAAACCCCATCTCTACTAAAAATACCAAAATTAGCTGGGCATGGTGGCGGGCGCCTGTAATCCCAGCTATTCAGGAGGCTGAGGCAGGAGAATCACTTGAACCCAGGAGGCTGAGGTTGCAGTGAGCTGAGATCGCACCACTGCACTCCAGCCTGGGCAACACAGCCAGTTCCTGTCTCTTAAATTTAAAAAAAAAAAGTAGAAAGAATAATGAACCTACCATCCGGCAGTGACCACACAAGGTCCATTCTTTTTTTCTAAGCAGGAATAGCCACCCTTACTCCAACTGGGGAAATCCCACATTATTCAATTTCTCTCAATACTTAATAATAAATCTCAAGATGATAAGATCAAATTTAAAAATTAACAATATTCCTTAATATTCTCAAATATATTGAGGGTTTATTGAATGCAGGCTAAGCATAGCATGTATACAATAGAGCATTTTTTATTCTATGGACATTTATGAAGTAGAGATTTCTCCATTATTACAGACTCTTTGTAAAAGTTTTTAATGGCTGCAAATTATCATAGTTTAACATCCCCTCTATTATTTTAATATTAAAGATAACATTGTCATAAATGTCTTTCTACAAAATCTTGTGAATTTAAGATCGCTTAGAATAGATTTCCTACAGTGGAACTATTGAGTCAACTGGTAGGGAATATTTTTAAAGGCTTTTTCTCTTTTAAACAAATATTTCTATCTTGCTTTCCAAAAGTCTTGTATCAATATACCTTCTAACTAGCATTGATTGTGTTAAAGTACCCATTTTACTGCATTCTGACCAAAAGTAAATTTTAAAATTTGAAAATAAAATTGTAAATTTGGTATGCTTAAAGAACTCTATTTCATTACATATATATACGTTGTTAAATAATGTAAATTTCAAATATACTTCGAACTATAGCAATCAATAAATATAGTGGATATCCATGAGCCTACTGCCTCATCCTGTCAAAACTTAATATGTCTGCTCAATGTTTGCTTCAGATATTTTTTGGAATAAAAAAATTACAGATAAAGTTGAAGCCCCTTTGTATTCTTGCATCTTTCTCTTCCTCCGTCTTCCACTTTCTCGCAGGTAAATGTTTCTTGAAACTGGTACTCATCATTCCCAGGCATTCTTAGGCCCCTTTTCCATGTGTATGTCCATGTGCAACGGACAGGATGGCTTACATTTTTAAAAATTCATGTGATTAAGGCTGGGTGTGGTGGCTCATGACTGTAATCCCAGCACTTTGGGAGGCTGAGGTGGGCAGATCACTTGAGGTCAGGAGTTCGAGACCAGCCTGGCCTACATGGTGAAACCCCATCTCTACTAAAAATACAAAAATTAGCAGGGTGTGGTGGCACGCACCTGTAATCTCATCTACTTGGGAGGCTGAGGCATGAGAATCGCTTGAACCTGGGAGGTGGAGGATGCAGTGAGCTGAGATCACACCACTGCACTCTAGCCTGGGCGACAGAAAGAGACTCGGTCTCAAAAAAAAAAAAAAAAAATTCATATGAACAGTACCATACAGATTGAGCACCCCTGATCTCCAAATCCCAAATCCAAAATGGTCCAAAATCCAAAACTTTTTGAGCTCTGACATTACGCCACAAGTGGAAAATTCCACACCTGATCTCGTGGGGTGGGTGGCAATCAAAACACAGGCACATAACACACTGTTTATTCAGCATCCCCAAGGGGAAAAAAGACTCTCCCAGCCGCCTTCAGCTGAGAGATATCTTTTCTGTGCATGCCCAGATTCCCCCATGCAAGCACGCACACAAAAGGTGGTAAAATGGCCTGTGTGCAGGTCGAACACACCCATGGTAGGTCCCGACAATTCCCCATATGGAGCCAAGCCCCGCCTCTGTGCACTTCTCACTGTGCTATTTTTGCTTATTCTCTGCTCTCTGGTCTAATGATGTTGAAAATGTTGGCCGGGTGCAGTGGCTCACGTCTGTAATCCCAGCACTTTGGGAGGCCAAGGTGGGTGGATCACTTGAGCTCAGGAGTTCGAGACCAGCCTGGGCAACACAGCACACCTATAGGTGTGCACCACCACACCTGGCTGATATTTATTTATTTCTAGAGATGAGGTCTCACTATGTTGCCAAGGCTGGTCTCACACTCCTGGCCTCAAGCCATCCTCCCACCTCAGCTTCCTGAGTAGCTGAGATTACATGTATAATCAGGGACATCTTTTCTGATTAGTCTCACAAACATTTTGGACCAGTGGCTTGTGTCACTGTAGGGAGGGTGGACTGGATGATGACTGCAAGATTTTGTTTTTCTTTGACAACCATTCTGCTCATCCTCCAGCTGAAACTCTCATTAAAAATAATGTTTATGCCATGGGCTTTCTTCCAAATGTGACTTCATTACTTCAGCCATGTGACCAGGGTATCCTTAGATCAATGGAGATCAATGGAGAGTAAATATGGAAACATTGCACGCTAGCAGCAGTGAACAGAGGGGTGGGTGTGGAAGTTTTCAAAAGGTGTTTAGCATGAAGGATGCCAATGCTGTTTCCAATGCTTGGAACTCAGTGACTAACGACACAGCCATGCGTGCATGGCACAACCTCTGGTCTGCGACTATGTTCAGTGATGATGATGAACAAGGTGATGACATGGAAGTATTCCATATGTGAAGTGGGAAAAAAATGATGTCTGACCTCCCTATGCAGGCAAAAAATATACCTTCAGAGTGTGTCAGCATGCTGGACGAAGTGGATATACAGGTTTTTAACATCTATACTGTGGCTCCAGTTGTTCGTTCATTGACCGATGATGAACAATGGCAAAACGGTTCTGAACCAAGGTGCTTGTGCTAACAGTGATGACGAACATAATGCTGTTATCACAGCAGAACACGCACCTGCAGGCGCCATGATGAAAGCATGCGATGGGCTCATTGAAGGACTAGAACGGTGGGTGTTCGAGGCAGGGTAAGCAAGATGAGGACCCTGTACCAACTTGTCCCCTTGTGCGAAGCCCTGAAGGACCCTTTTGCAGAGTCTTCTTTTGCTTGCAACTCTCCTGCGTCAGCACCTAGTGCTTTTGCAAGATAAGCTGCCCTACAAGATACCAGCAGATGGCCAGATGGTTACAAGTTGCTGCTGCCTGATTCGGCCCAGAAAAGAGAACAAAAGCCCCTTTCTCATGATGTAGCTTCTCCAATCTCCAGCCAGTCTGCACCAAAAGCCCAAGAAGCTATTAGCTACGAACTCCTGCCTTGGGGGTAGGAACTTCTCCAGGGTTCTGCACGTGCTCTAGGCTCAAGGTTTAGCTTATAGTGAACTTTTCCTTTTTTTTTTTTTTTTTTTTTGAGGCAGGGTCTCACTATGTTGCCCTGGCTGGAGTGCAGTGGCGTGATTCCATCTCACTACAGCCTTGAGCTCCCAGGCTCAGGTGATCCTTCCGCCTCAGCTTCCTGAGTAGCTGGGATTAAAGGCGCCTGCCACCATACCCGGCTAATTTTTTTTTTGTATTGTTAGTAGAGATGGAGCTTCACCACGTTGGCCAGGCTAGTCTCAAACTCCTGACTTCAGGTGAACCTCCTGCCTTGGCCTCACAAAGTGCTGGGATTACAGGCATGAGCCACCGAGCCCGGCCTACAGTATCGTTTAATCAGAACACAGCATCATTGATGGAGATGGAAGCCCACTGTCGTGGTTGCTGTTGTCTGTCGGCTGATCCAGGTCTCTGATGACACCACTGGGCTGCTTAGTGACCCTGAACACATTATGTTTTCACTGGTTTAATGCTATGTCATATTTTTTACTGTTAAGTACTCATGTGTGAATAAGTGTAAGAAAACGATTGTTTGTAAGGGTAGCCCATAAATTCAGAGTCAGAGTCAGGAATGGTGGTGATGCCAATCATCCGCAGATGTTCACGTGGGTGACTGCAGTGGCAACAACGTTGCTTTCTGGGCGTTCAATAGACACAAACTGTTTCATGCACAAATTATTAAAAATATTGTATGAAACTACCTTTAGGCTATGTGTATAGGGTACATATGAAACATAAATGAATTTTATATTTAGACTTAGGTCCCATCCCCAAGATACCTCATTGTGTATATGTGAATATTCCAAAATCTGAAAAAATCTGAATTCTGAAATATTTCACATTCCAAGCATTTCAGATAATGGAGACTCAACCTGCACTGTCATGTCATTCCAAAACTTTCTTTTTCCCTTAGCATTAATTTCTCCATTGATACATGTAGTGGTAGGTCATTAATTTTAACTGTTAGATAGTATTACGCCCTGTTACACCCTGCTATACTCTGCTATTATCTGCGCTATTTTCTGCCATAACTCCTAAAAGCTTCAGGTAGTGTCCAGTGCTGGTCTAGACTTTCCCTCATTGTATAAATTGAATGTTTTAGCAGGAAACTGGAAAAGACCAAGGCCAATTATTGATTTAGAATGCCATTGTACACTCAAAGGCTCTTCTTTTTTTTTTAACCTTTTTAGAAATACTGTTTCCATAAATTATTTTCACTTAGATAATTAGTCCATTACTGGGATACTTACTCTGTTCCACAGTCTCCGCCAGTTATTATAGCTCTGTCATGTTTCCAAATCTTGCAGGGGATGGTCTGCCCCGTAAGTTCCTCCTCCCCAAGGTTTCTTTGCTATCCTTTTAAAGAATATTCTTATGTTTGTTCATCCAGATGAAATTTCGAATTTTTATTTCGGATTGTCAGTTACCTCTTAAAAAAACAAAAGGATCCAACATCTTGAATTGTATTTAGATGGAAATAATACTTAATTTCATCCATATTCCATAGGGACTACTTTCCTGGGTTAAACTGATATGACTTGATGGTATCTTTAAAAAACTTTTTGTTTGGAGGTAAGTAGAGATTCTCACGTAGTTGTAATGATACAGAGAGATCCTGTATACCCTTGACTCAGTTTTCCTCAATGGTAGCATGTTGAATAGCTAAAGTACAATATCACAACCAGGAAATGACATGGATACAACATATAGACATTCGAATTTTGCCAGTGTTACATGCGTGTGTGCGTGTGTAATTCTACACAATTTTGTCACATTGCAGGCGGTTGGGTTGTGGCCCCTCCACGGCCAAGATGCAGGGCAAGATGAAGCACACCAGGCTGCCTTGTGCTGCCCTTTTATAGCCACAGCCATCCGCCTCTCTCCACTTTCCCTCAGCACCGGCAGCCACAATGCTATCCATCTCTGCAACTTTGTCATTTCAAGAACGTTTGCTATATAAATGAAATCATCCAGCGTGTAGCCTTTCGAGGTCAGCTTTTGCAAACAGTGCAATTCTCTGTAGATCCATTCAAGCTGCTGCATGGATGAACAGCTTGGTCCTTTTTAGGAGCAACATGGGAGTCTCTCTTTAGAATGTATGACCCTCCCATCCACACTTCAGCCACGCCTGGCCTTTTCTGTGTGTATTAATTTCCTAAGCCTGCCGCAACAAAGTACCAAACACCGTGTGGCTTGAAACAACAGAAATTTGTTGTCTCGTAGTTCTGGAGGCTGGAAGGCTGAAATCAAGGTGTCAGCAGGTGTCTGATGGCTCTAGGGGAAAGTCCTTCCTGGCCACATCCAGGCTATGGCATTTGCCAGCTGTCCTTGTCATTCCCTTGCCATTGCTCCTGCCACATGGCTGTCCTCTCCCTGTGTCTCTTCCCAGAATCCTGCCTCTGTGCATGTTGACATCCAAATTCTGTCTCCTTATAAGCACACCAGTCATATTGGATCAGGGCCCATCCCAGTGACCTCATTTTAACTTGATTGTCTTGGTAAAGACCCTATCTCCAGAGCCGGTGCGGTGGCTCATGCCTGTAATCCCACCACTTTGGGAAGCCGAGGCGGGTGGATCATGAGGTCAGGAGTTCAAGACCAGCCTGGCCAGCATGGTGAAATCCTGAATCTACTAAAAATACAAAAAATTGGCCGGGCAGGGTGGCGCACACCTATAGTCCCAGCTACTTGGGAGGCTGAGGCAGGAGAATTGCTTGAACCCAGCAGGCGGAGGCTGCAGTGAGCCGAGATCGCGCCACTGCACTCCAGCCTGCATGACAGAGTGACACTCCGTCTCAAAAAAAAAATAGAAATAAAAAAATAAAGACCGTATCTCCAAATAAGGTCACATTCTGAGGGTCAGGGGTTAGGACTTCAACATATATTTTTGGGTGGACACATTTCAACTCATAACAACATGACATCATTATTTTTGAGAGCAAAGTCCAGTATCTATTTTCTCAGACCAAAGGAAACGAGATGGCTTGGGAAGAGTGGGCTTCCTTGGCTGAGTGTCCACCATTCAGGAGAGACTCAGGTGGGGGTCGTTCTGGAGCTTCTCGCAGGGGACCCATGCAGGGTGGGGATCAGCTCAGCAGTCATCATTCAGAACAGAGCTGGAGGTGAGGATGAGGCTCAGGCTCTGGAAAGAAAAGTCCTAGTGACAGGGTCTTTGGCCACAGACTGTCGGCAAGATGCAGACAGAGGACTCAGCTGGGGAGGAGAGCCAGGCAGAGGGGAGGATGGCAGATGGGGCCAGGCAGAGGGGAGGATGGCGGACGGGGCCAGGCAGAGGGGAGGATGGTAGATGGATATATCAGGAAGAAGAGAGCCATGGCTCAGGTTAAGGGATTTTCTTTTTTCTTTTTTTTTGCTTTAGAATCCTAGATTTTTAAGTGGAGATATATTCATATGAAATACAATTCACCATGTTATTTTATTTTATTTTTATTTTTTGAGACAGGGTCTCACTCTGTCGCCCAGACTGGAGTGCAGTCGAGTGATCACGGCTGACTACAGCCTAGACCTCCTAGGCTCAATCAATCCTCCCACCTCAGCCTCCCAAGTAGCTGGGACGACAGGTGCACGCCACCTCGCCCAGATGATTTTTGTACTTTCTGTAGAGACAGGGTTTCTCCATGTTGCCCAGGCTGGTCTCAAACTCCTGGATTCAAGAGATCCTCCTGCCTTGGCCTCCCAAAGTGCAGGGATTTCAGATGTGAGCCACTGCGCCCTGCCGAGGTGATGCATTTCTAATGGTCACCTAGTAATGGTGTACTTGGCTTTTGACTTAGGAACAAGGGCCAGTTAGAGTCTGTAGGGGGCCCTATGAGGGAATCCAATTGCTGCAGCCAACCTGGAGACCTCAAGGCAGTGAGACTGAAGTGGGGAAAATGAAAGAAAATGAGTCGACTGACAGAAGGGGTTTTGCTTAAGAGCATGGGTATAGAAGAAGGAACTGCTTTTCGATACTCAAGTAGAAAAAACATCACATTTCCTTATTTTTGTAAATTATATCAGATATGGCTCTGAGCTTCCACTTTCCAAGATCAATAAAAATCTAATACTGTTTTTCCCTCCACTCCCCGCTATGGCAAATAAGTCTCTTCCCTTCTCTGAGGTTGTGCCAAAACCCAGGAAAAATAGAGGGAGGTAGCCTGGGCCTGGGTGGCCTTGGTCACTACTAAGCGAGTCATTGCCCAGACCCACCTTGCCCTCTGTCCTCAGCAAACCCTCCTCACTCCCCTCTAGTTAGTTAACCTCTTCCCAAATACTTTTTGCATATCCACTTATCCTCACTGACAATCTAGCCAGATTATTTTAATTAGCCTCCTTCTTCCTCCCAAAAAATGCCTATTTGGTCAGTCTCCCTGGCACCCTGCAGTCAGATAAACAAATCAACATCAAACACATAAACAGTCAGTGAACTGCATCCCTGGAGTGAAAGAACCCCAAATTCTAGAACACAAAACTGGTCTGCTCTCGGGGAAAATCACCCTTCACTTTCTTTTTTCCTGTGATGGATCTTTGAAAGGAAAAATTCCCAAGAGACCAGCCTATTTCTTGATGATTCACCCAGTTATATGAATTTGAAGCCTCCTAAGCCTCAGCCTCCAGAGTAGCTGGGACTGCAGGCGTGCACCACCATGCCTGGCTCATTTTTGTACTTTTAGTAGAGACGGGGTTTCACCATGTTGGCCAGGCTGGCCTCGAACTCCTGACCTCAGGTGATCCGCCTGCCTCAGCCTCCCAAAGGGTTGAGATTACAGGCGTAAGTCACTGTGCCTGGCCTGATTTTGAACTCAAAGTTGTTTTGCAATTGTACTTTTTAATTGGAAGCACATTCTCTCCAGTTTTTGTGTTTTATTGGCCATAAGTCTCTGTTCCTGGCACTGTGCACATGTAGAAGGCAATGATAAACAATGTCATGTGAATAAAACAGCGGCTTTGCACAATTTCAAACCTCTTCTGAGTCTTCAAGAACATCTGAATTACACCCACCACTCACTGTCAGAAGACCCTCTTTATTTTCTACCTTATTTCGTTTTTTGCTTTCTTATTTCTGTAATACCTTGCATCTCTTATGCAGAAGCCCTGTGAATATCTGCTTTTGAGCATCACATATTGTGAATGAGAATTATGAGATAGGTTTTCATAAGTTTTAAAAATAATAGTCTTGCTCTGTCATCCAGGCTGGAGTGCAGAGGCACAATTATAGTTCACTGCAGCCTTGACTTCCTGGGCTCAAGCAATCCTCCTGCCTCAGCCTCCCAAGTAGGCAGGACTACTGACGCATGCTCACTATACCTAGCTAATTAAAAAATTTTTCTGTAGAGATGAGGTCTCACTATGTTGCCCAGGCTGGTCTCAAACTTCTGGCCTCAAGGGCTTCTCCTCTCTTGGCCTCTCAAACTGCTGGGATTACAGGTGTGAGCCACTGTGTCCAGCCTGGCTTTTATATTTATGTATGCTTTACGTCTGTGTGTGTGCATCTGTATCTATATATTTATCCATGTATCTATCTCCAAATGGGTTCCTTTGGGCAAGTTATTAACTTCTCTGTGTCTTCCTTTCCTCATCTGTAAAATGGAAATAATGGAACCTACGCCATAAGGTGTTTGAGAGGATTAAATGAGTCGACAAAAGCATTTTGAAGAGTGCTTAACATGTAATAAGCTCTCAGTACATGTTAGGTATGAAATAGACAACACATACTCTATAATATGTTGTCCTTGGTAAACTATCTAAGGTGATTGTGGAGAAAGTTGTTAGCTAAAAATGTTAAGTACAATTTAGAGGTTGAAGAGTGTCTGGAGAAATATTATCTGTGATACTAAGCTAGGGCCATCTGTCCAGGCAGAACGCCAGAGTGGGGAGAAGGCGGGTGGGGAGGTCCCATGAACAGATAGTGAAGACAAAAACCCCACCCTGAGTGGAGTTCCAACAGCCGGGAGCAATGTTCCAGGTCTCTTGCTGTCCCTTCTTACAGCAAGACAATGCCCAGCTAAGATGGTAAAACTATAAAACATATTGCCCCAAGAGGAAGTGGCTTAATGTCCCCTCCTCTTTGTAATTCCCCTACTGCCATCATCCTCCTAAGAGCACAGCGTGGCCTCTTGCCCACCAGTCTCTTCCCTCACCTCACCAAAGATTGGTTGCCCTTTCTCTTCCATCTCCAAACCCTTCTCTACCTTCCTTACCTCCTGGTAAGAACCTGGGAGAAGGGAAATCTTTAAAGAGCTTTCTGCCTTCACCTTTGTTTTTTGGTTCATCTCTTAGTGATCTCAGGATAAAATGAAAGGGAAGAGTGATAGAACCTCAGGGTTTAAAAAATGTAAACCCAAGATGTATCTGGGAATTGCAAACCCAAATGCCTACAGGGTACAGGCCACAGGGTCGGGGGCACCAGACAAGAGGGAGTGGGCTGCCAGCTCTGGTAGAGTATAAGAGAGCAATGCATGTCTACTACGCTCATATTTTTAGTTTGGTTTTTTGTTTTGTTTTGAGATAGGGTCTTGCTCTGTCACACAGGCTGGAGTACAGTGGCGTGATCACAGCGCTTTGCAGCCTCTACCTCCTGGGTTTACATGATCCTCTTGACTCAGCCTTCCAAGTAGCTGGGACTACAGGAGCACGCCACCTCACCAGGCTAATTTTTGTGTTTTTGCAGAGACCAGATTTTGCCATGTTGCCCAGGCTGGTGCCGAACTCTTGGGCTCAAGCAATTCTCCCTTCTTGGCCTCCCAAAGTGTTGGGATTACAGGCACGAGGCACTAGGCCAGCATATTTTCAGTTTTTGAAGAGACTTTGAAATTATAGGTCCTTGTGTAAAATCTCTCAGTTTATAAACAGTGATTATCGTTTTAGAAAAAAGATCAAAATCCGCCCGGGTGCAGTGGCTCATGCCTGTAATCCCAGCACTTTGGGAAGCTGAGGTGGGTGGATCACTTGAGGTCAGGAGTTCAAGACCAGCCTGCCCAACAACGTGATACCCCATCTCTGCTAAAAATATAAAAATTAGCTTGGTGTGGTGATGCATGCCTGTAATCCCAGCTACTCAGGAGGCCGAGGGAGGAGAATTGCTTGAACCTGGGAGGCAGAGGTTGCAGTGAGCCAGGAGATCACACCACTGCACTTCCAGCCTGGGCAACAGTGAGACTCTGTCTCAAAAGAAAAAAAAAGAAAAGAAAGAAAAAGAAAAAAATCAAAATCCCATGCAAGTCAAAGTCAAGCCATAGCCTTTGCGACATCTGATTCATAGCAATCGTCTTTTAGCCCTGGCAACTATTAGAAGTGTTTCTGTTCCCCTACCGTGTTAGAAAATCAGAAATATTTAATTTACTTGAAATGAATTTGGTTCATGAATTTCATTTTATTTTATTTTCCTATTTATTTATTTATTTATTTATTTATTTTGAGGCAGAGTCTCACTCTGTTGCCCAGGCTGGAGTGCAGTGGTACGATCTCGGCTCACTACAGCCTCCACCTCCTGGGTTCAAGTGATTTTCCTGCCTCGGCCTCCTGAGTAGCTGGGACTACAGAAGCACGCCAAGACGTCCGGCTAATTTTTGTATTTTTAGTAGAGACGGGGTTTCACCATGTTGGCCAGGCTGGTCTCGAGCTCCTGACCTCAAGTGATCCACCTGCCTCAGCCTCCCAAAGTGCTAGGATTACAGGCATGAACCACCAGGCCCAGCCTATTTTTTTAAATTGACAAATAATTATTTATTAGTTCTTTCAAGAGTCCTTGACCTAAAATGTTAAAAATAAAATATCTACAAGGTATAACATTTTATAGATGTTATAATTTTTTAAATGTAAAAATTTATAGGCTTCTAAGTTGAACCATAAGCTATTTATGAATCTAAAACTATTTTATTTGCTTCTCTGGAGTTAGAGTCATTTCTCTCTCTCTTTTTTCGCCAAATTATTTCTCTAGCTGTCATAAACAAAGTATTTTTAAAAAGCCATCCAAGACAGCTGCTTTAAATAAATAAAATAAAGTAAACAGGCTTCAAAATGAAACTGTTTCCAAAATACATAACCAATACTAGATTTTATCTTTTTAATTTAGTTTAATTAAAAAACTTTTTAAGAGACAGGGTCTCGCTGTTTTGCCTAGCCATTCTCAAACTCCTGGGCTCAGGTGATCCTCCTATCTCAGCCTCCCAAAAAGTGTTGGGATTACAGGCATGAGCCACCGCAGCTGGCTCCAAGCACAGATTTAGAATTTGGATCCTGGTAGACTGAGGTGTCTCAGCTAAGGAAGATTGTTAGACCCAAAAGAAGGTTCATTTATTTCAGAAACTCTCTCTACATGCTCTCCCAAAAGCAATAGGCAAATTTTGTTTACTGATGCAAAGTAAATATGAAAACAAGAGATGTGCTTTATGTCTTGTGATTTAATTTAAATGGCCTTGAGAGGAGAAAATGTGCCACTCTAAACCCTTCCTCCTTCTTGCTGGTTGGAATGCAGCCATAATGACTGGAGCCCCAGCAGTCACACTGGACCATGAGGATTCTTGAAAATGGAAGCCACAAGCCATCCATAGAGTAGGAACAAGATGGAAAGAGGGTGAGTCCCTGACACCAGAAGAACCAAACCAGCCTGGTCTGTCTTTCTTTGAATTTATTGAATGTGAAGGAGAACATCTATGTTGTTTGTCATTATTTTTGTTTTTTTGGTTTTTCTCTAACAACTAATTTTTTTTCTTTTTCTTTTTAAGAGACAGAGCCTCCCTATGTTGCCCAGGCTGGTCTTGAACTCCTGGGCTCAAGGGATCCTCCCCACCTTGGCCTCCCAACATGCTGGGATTACATGGCATGAACCACCACGCCAGGCCCTAACAACTAAATTTTCTCCTGACAATATGTCTAAAAAGAGAAAATACATTTTCAATAGGCTTGGATTTTTTTCCCTTGTAGATTTCTTTTGTGTTAGCTATAGTGTTTTCATTTTCTTGCTGGAAGGAAAGACATATAGTATATTGTTTATTTTCATCAATTTTAACATACTAGTAAGCCTATCCCCACATCTTCATTACATTTTTGTGATTTAAAACAAATTTCATTATATTACAGTTATATAGAACACACAGTGATATTATATTTTTAAAGAGAAAGTTTATTATTGTAAGAAACTTAAAGTTATAATGTAATAGAAAGAACATTCATAAAGTTATAATGCATACAAGATTATTCTAAGAATTACATTATTAAAAACATATTCATATTGGGCATTTCTTCATTTAACCTGGTGAGTCTGATTTTAAAGGGAAATTCTGGCTAGTCATATTATCTACCTGGTCTAATTGATAAATTTTTATGGTTTATGTCTTTGAGGCAATGGCTGGTTGTATTACTGGTTTCTGACCTTCAATTTCCAGAGCAGATCTCTGTGGCTTTTGAAAAACACTATGTTATTAACTGGATATATTTACTCAACCATCTGTACTCTCTAACTTAGTAACACTGATACATAAAGTCCTCCTGACTTTTTCATCATTTCTGTAGAGAATTTCTTATCTCCAGATTTTCTGAAGCAGACAAAAACATACTTATGAGCTACATAATTTGCAAGGCCCAGTGCAGAAATGAAAACATGAGGTCCCTTGTTCAAAATTCCTAAGAATTTTAGTGTGGTAACAGCAGAGCATCAAACCAAGTTCAGGGCCCTTCTAAGCAATGACGGCCTGTGTCACATGCCCAGGCCACATGCCCATCAACCCAGCCTTGGGTAGATCCTAAATTGAATCAGCTCCCACATTAATCAGCTGATAGGAGAAGATACAAGCCATTTCTAGTTGTCAGTATTATTTACCTCAGTCTCTGCTATTCCTTTACACACAAAGTCCAGCATTCAATCCAAATTTTAAGAGAGCCTAAAAACAAAACAGTCAACAGAATCAGACAGAGAGATGCTGCAGATGCTCAAACTAGCAGAGATTTTAACTAATTAATATGTTAAAGAGTCTAGTGAAAAGGTGGACAACATATATGATGGAGAATTTGATCAGAGAGATGGGAACTCTAAAAAAAGAGTTAAATGAAACATGAGCAATGAAAATGATTGTTATAGACTGACTTGTGTATCTCAAAATTTATATATTGAAGCCTAGTCCCCAGTGTCACTGTATTTGGAAATAGAGCTTGTCTTAGCAGACTAATACAATCATGGTCTCAGCTTTAAAGGATTCCTTCAACAGGCTTATTCATGAAATGAATGTAGCAGAAGAAAGAATTGGTGAACGTGAAGAGAGGTCAGTGGAAATTATCCACACTGAAACTTAAGGAGTAAAAAGAGAGGAGAAAAATAATAGCATTTCAAAAACCGTAGGATAATATGAAATGGCTTAACATACATGTAATTGAGTCCCAGAAGAAGAGACAAGAGGTCAGAAGAAATGATAACAGCTGAGGTTTTCCCCAGATGAATGAAAAACAACAGTCCACAGATCCAAGAAGCTCAGATAACCCTAAGCAAGATAAAAATGAATAAAAACACACCTGAGCACATCCTAGACAAACTGTTGAAAATCAGCGTGAAGAGGAAATCTTTGAAGGTAGCCAGAGAATAAGGAAATAGTCCATAAGGAAGACATTCTATGAAGCAGACTTTTCATTAGGCACTATGCAAGCAGAAGACAATGGAATGACATCTTTAACATATTCAAAGAAAAAATCCACCTAGAATCATATTCAGTGAACATTTTTTAAATTATGAAAATATTTCATAAATAAAAAAAGGTTTTTTTTGGCAAATAGAAGAGAATTTTTCATTGTAAGTACTACACTACAGGAAATGTTAAAGTAAATTCTCCAGGCAGAAGGAATCTGAGAATTGAAAGAAATTTGGATCTACACAAAGGAATGAGGAGTGCTTGAAACCACTGTTCTGCCATAGTGACAGAAAAAAATATTAAAATGTGGGCAAATATGGAAAACATTTTTTCTTATTTTAATCTCTTTTAAAAGATAATCAACTCCCTAAAGCAAACATAGTAATAATATATTATGAGATTTATAACATGTAGTAGTATAATGCATTTTAATAACAGCACAAAGGATGGGAAAGAGAAAATAGAAATATACTACTAAAAGATTGTGCATTTAAGGGGAAGTGTTATAATATTATTTGAAGATAGGCTGTGACAAGTTAAAAATATATGTTATAAATTCTACGGCAACCACTAAAAAACAAATAAAAGTATAGCTAGTAAACCAAGAGTAGAGATAAAATGGAACCATAAAAATACTCAGTTAATTGGCCAGATGTAGTGACTCACACCTGTAATCCTAGCACTTTGGGAGGTTGAAGTGGGCGGATCACCTGAGGTCAGGAGTTCGAGACCAGCCTGGCCAACATGGTGAAACCCTGTCTCTACTAAAAATATGACAATTAGCTGGGCATGTTGGTGCACGCCTATAATCCCAACTACTCAGGAGACTGAGACAGGAGAATTGCTTGAAACTGGGAGGCGGAGTTTGCGGCGAGCTAAGATAACACCACTGCACTTCAGCCTGGGCAACAGAGCAAGACTCCATCTCAAAACAAACAAACAAACAAAACAAAACAAAACTCAGTTAATCAAAAACAAGGACAAGGCATAAGAAAAAAAGGAACAAGGAACAGATGGGACAAATAGAAAACACATAGAATGATGACAGATTTAAATTTGGTCATATCAATAATTAAATTAAATATACATGGTTTAAACAGCTCCAGAAATTAGATAAATTATCGGATTGGATTTTAAAAAGCAGAACCCAACTGTATTCTTTCTACAACAATCCCATTATAAATATAAAGACACAGATAGGTTAAAAGTAAAATAATGAAAAAAAAAAACATGCCAACACTAATAAAAAGAAACCCAAAATAGCTACATTAATATCAGACAAAGTGGACTTCAGGATAAAGAATATTACCAGAGATAAATAAAGACATCACATACTAACAGGGTAAATTAATCAAGAAGACATTACAATCTTATATGTGAATGTACTTAATAATAGAGCTTCAAAACACATTAAGCAAAAACTGATAGAACTAAAGGGAGACATTTTAAAAAATCTGTAATTATTGTTGAAGTGTGGTCCAACACTCCTCTCTCAGTAATTGATAGAACAAGTGGATAAAAAAATCAGTAAGAATATAGAAGACTGAAAACACTTTTAAGGCAGTCCATCCAACAACAGCAGAGAGAATACACATTCTTTACAAACACACATGGAGCGTTCACCAAGAGAGAACCCTCTCTGAACCATTGAAAATAGATTCTGTTCTGGGCCTCAATAAACATAAAAGGATTCATATCATATAAAGTATATTATCTACACAACATAATTAAAATGAAAATCATTAATAGAATGACATCTAGAAAATTCTCAAATATTTGAAAATTCAACAAAACATTTTCAAATAATCCACAGGTCAAGGAAGAAATCACAAGGTAGAAATTTTTTTTAACTGAGTGAGATGAGAATGCATTATTTAATCTGAGGCATGCAGCTAAAGCGGTGCTTAGAGGGAAATTTATAGTATTAAATGCCTATATTAGAGAAATAGAAAAATCTCAACTCAATGATCTCAGCTTCTACCTAAAGAAAATATAAAAAGAAAAGCAAATAAAACGGAAAGTAAGCAGAATGAAGCAAATAATAAACCCAGCAGAAGCCAATGAAATTAAAACAAAATTAATAGAGAAAATTGAGGATACTAATAGCTTGTTTTGAAACAAGCATTAAAACGCACAACCCTGTAGCCAGACTTTTTATTTATTTTTAAATGAACACCAGTGCCACTTGCCAATCCCAGACTATTTTCTCAAATGACATAAGACACAAATTAAAAATAAAATGAGTTAAAGAATGGACAGAAAGCAGTTTGGGGTCCTAATGGTCATTGAAAGCAGGTTGGGCCATAGCCTTTCTCTCTTTTTATAGGTATAAAAGTGAAGGAATGATAAAATAAAACACAACAAATTACATATTTTGACAAGTTTGCAAATAACACAAATATTACATAATTTAGAAAAATAATATGTTAAAAATTAATTGTTTAACATACTTCTATAATGTTTTCAGCTGCATTTATTATTATTATTATTATTTTGAGACAGCGTCTTGCTCTGTTGCCGAGGCTGCAGTGCAATGGCATGATCTTAGCTCACTGTAACCTCTGCCTCTTGGGTTCAAGTGATTCTTGCGCCTCAGCCTCCTGAGTAGTTGGGATTACAGGCATGAGCCACTATGCATGACTAATTTTTCTTTTTTCTTTTTTTTGTATTTTTAGTAGAAATGGGATTTTGCTATGTTGGCCAGGCTGGTCTCAAACTCCTGACAACAAATGATCTGCCCACCTTGGCCTCCCAAAGTGCTGGGATTACAGGTGTGAGCCACCACACACAGCCAACAATGATTTTATAAGATCGCTTTCCATAGAGAGGTCAGAAAGATAATTTGATATTCACAGAAGCCAACCTGTGGCCATTCCAACCACATCTGACAAAAACCAGAGGCAGAGAATTTGCGACATTAATTAGTCTACTACTTCTATTGTTTCTGATATTACCATACACTAGCGTCACTGTTGAAAATAATTTTGGCATGGCCTGATACATCTCTGTCCATTACTGTAGTGATGCCCCTGGTGATTTCCCGTCCAAGAATTTAATGAAGTTTCACTCAAGTTCAGTCACATTCAATCATTCTTCCTGTGCCAGATATTGACTGTTGGTATTAAGTCCCATAGTAGTCCTTCCATATACTCTCTGTTACTGCTCAGTCTAGAAGTCTGAAAACTACATTTCCTAATCTCTCTTACCAATTAAGTCCAGGTGATTTTGTTCAATAACACAAAATTATAAGTAGGAAGAATGCAAAAGCCATTTTACTCCTGGCAACAGATTTAGAAGGATCATAGAGTTCCAGGATCCTCAACATCAGTAGGAATATCACCTCCCTGGTAGCAGAGGTGGCCGTAACAGCAGCCATAGCAGCAAGTATGTGCTCATAGGCTCTGGTAATAATACCTTTTGTAACTCAAACTCTGGGGGCAGTAGGGACTTCCTTTAGACACTGATCTGTAGGTAACCCCACCTTTTGCTCTGCTAAAAATTCCAAAACTTGTGTAACCAGTTGCCTGTATTAAATCCCCTTCTGTTTCAAATACATAGAAAGATGGGTTTTTTGTTAGTTAGTTTGTTTGTTTTTAGACAGAGTCTTGCTCTGCCCAGGCTAGAATGCAGTGGCGCAATCTTGGCTCATTGCAACCTCTGCCTCCTGGGTTCAAGCGATTCTTCTGCCTCAGTCTCCCAAGTATCCGGGATTATAGGCATGCACCACCATGCCCAGCTAATTTTTGTATTTTTAATAGAGACAGGGTTTCGCCACGTTGACCACACTGGTCTCGAACTCCTGACCTCAGGTGATCTGCCTGGCTTTGCCTCCCAAAGTGCAGGGATTACAGGCATGAGCCACCACACTCGGCCCATAGAAAGGTTTTTACCCCCTTGGCTGGATACTGATAGAAACAACTCCCAGTGCATGTTTACTAGAACAGACTTATTTATGTGCTGTGCTAGTTCTAGCCATTCCCAGAAATATTCAAGACGTGGCTTTGGGCCTGGATCACCAGTACAGATTTCTTGTGACCTCACGGTGTGTTGTAACTTGTGATGTATTTTTCCATCAGCACACCTCATTGGGATCATCTTCATATATTAGAGAAATTCTATACACATTGAGCCTCACAAAGGAAGGTGTCTGGGTATCAGATTCTCTCTTCCCAGGAAGTGCCTTTGGAAATTTACTTACTGCCTACTGAGAAGCCCTGCAAGCTGAAAGGTCAGTTCTGGAAGGGTGGCCTTTCCATTGATTAAAGGTCTTGTTACACGCTTTCCTCAGGGGCAGAGTTGCTTCACTGCTGCACATTTGCATAACGAAGGGGCCAGTACTCATAATGGGGATAAGAAGCTGTGTTTTATGGTAACGAGGAATATCCATCCCGATAGAGAAGAGATTGGGACCCAGGATTAAATAAATGTAAATTCCACCTTCCCAGATACACTGCTAAATAAGGGGAAAAAATAAATTTTGAGTTCAAAGACATTTCTTTCCACTATTCACCAACCATTGTAATCTAGAGACTTGTGTTCTAGAAGGGGAGCTTGCTAAACAGATTTCCACAAGCAGAAGCTAAATGTGATAAACGCAGATTTCAGTTTGCTGTAAAGAGAACAGTTTTGCACTAAAGTCGGGGCTGAAGAGTATCCTTGTCTCTTTAGTAATCAAATAAAAACAGTTCAGTAATTAGTGACAGACTTTG
This sequence comes from Homo sapiens, assembly GCF_000001405.40. Classification (NCBI taxonomy): domain Eukaryota; kingdom Metazoa; phylum Chordata; class Mammalia; order Primates; family Hominidae; genus Homo; species Homo sapiens. The sequence goes on from NC_000010.11 coordinate 5,997,334, forward strand.
AACTTAAACAAGTTAATTAAGAACTGTGGGTTGATATGTCTGTTTTATAAGAATTATATTTAGAAAATAATTAACGTGCTTTTCTCTTTTGTCTTCCTGAGACCTCAGTCTTTATTTTTGTTGGCCTGGGGCATCTACCTGTTTTGTGGGGAGTGATGAGTTTAGGATTGTTATAGAGAAACGCAAAGAAAGGACTAAACTCTTAAAGATCATTGATTCGAAAACATATGTTAACCCTCACATTTAGCATTTCTAAGTCAGATGTGTCTTACAGCCTACAGTGTGTCACAGTTTTAGTGGTGATGCTCTTTTCCCCTTTATTTCCTAGGAGTAAATAAAATCATGGTGAATCTTATAGCAATGTAGATTTAATGAAACACTTCTGATACTCAAATAGCGTTGACGTTTTAAATTAAGATCTGCTTTACATGAGTTTTGACAAATGCAAACACCCTTTCCTCTATCAAGTCATAAGATAGTTCCTTTTCCTCAGAAAGATCCCTGGTGTCCCTTTACAGTCAATTCCTACACTACCCTCTGTCCCTGGCAAACATTGTTCTATTTTTTTTTTTTTTTTTTTGTCACAGATGAGTTTTCCTACTCTAAAGTCACAGAAACAGAATTGTATGGTGCATGATCTCTCATCTGGCCTCTTTACTCAGCATTTTGTCTTGCGCTTCTGCCTGTTGTGTGCACTCGTAGCTTGTCCCTTTGGTTGTGGAAGAGTCTTCCGTTAAATGAATATATAATTTGGGCCAGGTGTGGTGGCTCATGCCTGTAATCCCAGTACTTTGGGAGGCCAAAGCAGGCGGATCACTTGAGGTAAGGAATTCGAGACCAGTCTGATCAACATGGTGAAATCCCATCTCTACCAAAAAAAAAAAAAAAAAAGAATTAGCTGGGCATGGTGGCATGTGCCTGTAGTCCCAGCTACTCAAGAGGCTGAGGCAGAAGAATTGCTTGAACCCAGGAGGTGGAGGTTGCAGTGAGCTGAGATTGTGTCACTGCACTCCAACCTAGGCAACAGAGTGAAATAGTGTCTTAAAAAAAAAGAATATGTAATTTGTTGATGGATATTTGGGTTGTTTACTGTTTTTGGCAATAATAAATAAAGCTGTGATGAACATTTTCATACAAATATATATATATATATACATATATATACACAAATATATATATACACACACATTTTAATTTATCCTAAAACTTTTCTAGGAGAAGCATGACTGGATCATCTAGTAGGGGCATATTTAAAATAGGATTTTGAAGCAAAACAATCAATAGTCTTCTCAGCCAGGTTACTTTCTCCAGAGAGAATGGTCACTAATGTCCCTCTAGCATATCAAGGGTCAGGTTTGATGGCTAGCCCTTAGAATTCTTTTTCTTTCTTTTTTTTTTTTTTTTTTGACAGAGTCTCTGTTGCCCAGGCTGGAGTGCAGTGTTGCAATCTCGGTTCACTGCAACCTCTGCCTCCCAGGTTCCAGCGATTCTCCTGCCTCAGCCTCCCAAGTAGCTGGGATGACAGGTGTGAACCATCATGCCCAGCTAAGTTTTGTATTTTTATTAGAGATAGGGTTTTGCCATGTTGGCCAGGCTGGTCTCGAACTCCTGATCTCAAATGATCTTCCCACCTTGGCCTCCCAAAGTGCTGGGATTACAGGCAGGAACCACTGTGCCCGGCTGGTTTATTAATTTTAAATGATTAACCGTCCTTATGAGAAGTCCAGACCTCAGCATCATGCAACGTAATCACGTAACACATCTGCACATGCACCCCCAAATCTAAAATAGAAATTAAAAAATAAAATGATAACCCTGAGACATCTCTGGGCAGGGAAACTACTGGAGAAGAGGAAAGAAAAGCCTGTGAGTCCCACAGTTGTGGTTCGTGGAGGAGAGATGCCGTTTGATTCTTCTGGGTAGAGTGGGCAGACGGTCCTTGCAGGACCTGGGGGGAGACGCATATTTGAGAGTCCCGACCCGTCATTTCCCCTTCCAAACCCCTGATCTGCCTGGGGCTCTTGACTGAACCGTATCCACTCTGTGTCTTTCCCCTTGTCTACTTCAGTAATTTCTCAGGTGAATTATTAATTCAGTCAGAGTTTGGTTCAAAACCCTCCTTAGGATTTCATTCCCCTCTTCCTTGGAGAGCTACTGTTAGGGGTCCGCACCCAGGGAGCCCTGTGGGGAGGGGGCCCGGCTTGGTTACGATGGGCCACACACGGGAGGCGGGCTGGGGTCCCTCCATTTCTGTCCCTGGTGTCTGCAGGTGCTGAGGATTCCCAGTGGGTGGCACCTGTAGATCCCGGGTGCCCGTTCAGTTCCTGGCAGGGACACCTGCCTGCAGCTCTGGCCCCAGCTGCCTGCGGGTCTGCAGGGGATCGGTGGGGAGCCAGGCCCCTCCCTTGTTAATACCTGGGAGGTGTGCCTGCTCAGGCTCTCAGTTCGCCATCCCTCACCAGTTGGAAGTGCGGGGACATTTGGATCTCGTTCAGGCCACGTTTGCCCGAGGGATCCTCAGAGGGCTGTCTGAAGCTTTCTCCAGCTTTTCCTCCTTCCCGTGGGCAGGACTTGTACTCCTGGCTGCTGCTTCCAAAACGCAGCCGGACTGCCCTAGGCTTTTGGGTATCACAACTGAATGGATTCTGCCTATTAGAACCTACCCTTCCTCCACAAATTGCCAAGCAGCAAGAAGCACAGAGTTGGGGCACAGACTTCGCCATCTCTGTTTTCCTTTCCTCTTCCTTCACAGTGACAGCAGAGAGCGGCCTGGGTGGGAAGGAAACCAGTTCTCCTGCCTGTCTCCCGTTTCCCCACCTTTTGGGCTTTGCACCTGGTGGAGTGTTCCTGGCCCCCAACAGAGGAGCACCTGGTGACTTTGTTCTCACAAGTCCGCCTGGAAGCGTTGCATGGGAACAGAGCACACGGTGTGGAGCCTTAATGTGGGAACTCTGCCACACTGTAACACTTTACACGCCATTTTGTCCCAACGGCAATGGAGCCTCCTGTGTCTAGGGTTTCCTTAAGGCGTGCCGTTAAATATTCGTAAAATGAACACATGAAGAGCCTAGAGTCCAGAGGTCCTAGCAGATGGTGTTACATCCTCATCGTGAGGCACGTGGACGGGGGTTTCCGACCACCTGCGTTCACCCCTAGAATTGGGATTGATCTGGGCACCTCTGGGAAACATATGGGACAGGACCCGTGACTCTAGTTGCATTTTTGGAGGAGTGAGGCTGGGGGAGAAGAATAGGGAGGAACGCAGAGGACATCCTGGTACCTGTCTCAGAGATTCTTCCATGGGTCTGTGTCAAAACCTTGTGGAAAGCAAAGCTGGTGGCAGAAGCCGGGGATGCAGGATTCACAAAGGATTCTGTGAGACACTAGGACACAGTAACTTGTCTTAGTGCCCAGGTGATAAAATACGACATATAATGGGAAGGAGGAGTGTGTTCCCCTCCCATAGGCGGAGCCCAGGAAGGCTGCCTTGCAGGATGCTGTGGACTCCTAAAAATATCTGAAGGAGACCGTGTGTGTGTGTGTGTGTGTGTGTGTGTGTGTGTGTGTGTGTGTGTTATCACCAAGAGTGCAGTCTCATCTGAACCTACAAGCTCTGAAGGAGACTCTGTGTGTGTGTGTGTGTGTGTGTGTTATTTACAGGTTATTACCAAGAACATGGCCTCACCTGAGTCTGCAGGCTCTGAAGGAGACCATGTGTGTGTGTGTGTGTGTGTGTGTGTGTGTGTTATCACCAAGACTGCAGTCTCATCTGAACCTGCAGGCTCTGAAGGAGACTGCGTGTGTGTGTGTGTGTGTGTGTGTGTGTGTGTGTGTGTGTGTTATTTACAGGTTATTACCAAGAACATGGCCTCACCTGAGTCTGCAGGCTCTGAAGGAGACCATGTGTGTGTGTGTGTGTGTGTGTGTGTGTGTGTGTTATCACCAAGACTGCAGTCTCATCTGAACCTGCAGGCTCTGAAGGAGACTGCGTGTGTGTGTGTGTGTGTGTGTGTGTGTGTGTGTGTGTGTGTGTGTGATTTACAGGTTATTACCAAGAACACGGCGTCACCTTAGTCTGCAGGCTCTGAAGGAGATCGTGTGTGTATGTACGGGTTATTACCAAGAGCACAGTTTCATCTGGACCTGCAGGCTGGTGAGGCCAGGAGAGATTCACTCAGGGGCCAGTCCAAAAAACAGAACCTGGCTAGGAATTTCAAACAGGTAATTTTTTGAGAAAGAGTTTTATTGGGGGTTTAGTGAACATTGAAAAACTGCACATATTCGAAGTACACAGTTTGGTAAGTTTTGGCATGAGTACACACCCCTAAAACCACAATCAAGATAATGTTCCTTTGTCATCTTCCCCTGACAGTGTTTGATCTGCTTTCTGTCACTATAGGGCAGTTGGGATTTTCTAGAAATTTATATAAATGGAGTCAAACAGTGTATAACCTGATTATTGCTGACAATCCTTGGTGTTCCTCAGCTCGTGGCATCAAGCTCCAACCTCTCCAGCGGGGCGCAGTGGCTCACTTCTCTAACCCAGCACTTTGGGAGGCCAAGGCAAGTGGATTACTTGAGACCGGGAGTCTGAAACCAGCCTGAGAAATATGGCAAAACCCGGTCTCTACTCAAAAAAATACAAAAATTAGCCAGGTGTCGTGGCATACACGTCTAATCTCAGCAACTTGGGCGGCTGAGGCATGAGAATCTCTTCAGCCCGGGAGGCAGAGGCTGCAGTGAGCAGAGATGGTGCCACCGTACTCCAGCCTAAGTGACAGAGTGAGACTCTGTCTCAAAAAAAAAAAAAAATCCTCCAATCTCTGACTCTGTCTTCACCTGGCTGTCTTCCCTCTGTGTGGGTCTGCGTCCAGATTTCCCTCTTCTTATGAGAACACCAGTCATATTGGGTTTAAGGTCCACCCTAATCTGGTATGACTTCATCTTAACTTGTTACATTTCCAAAGATTCTATTTTCAAACAAGGCCACATTTGTCGGTTCCAAGTAGGCATGAATTCTGGGGAGACATTATTCAACCCAGTGAAATTTTAGCCGAGTCCTTTAATATTTATTGGCATGTAAGCCTGCTGGTTATGAAGTCTTTCAACTTTTATATGTCTAAAAATACTTATTTCATCTTCATTTTTGAAGGCTATTTTCCCTGCATATAGAACTTTAGGTTGACAGTTTTTTCTTTCAGTAGTTTAAAGATATTGCTCCACTTATACTGTTACCAGAGAGAAATCTGCATTTATTTATTTATTTTGAGACAGAATCTCACTCTGCCACCCAGGCTGGAGTGCAGTGGTGCGATCTTGGCTCACTGCAACCTCCACCTCTTGGGTTCAAGTGATTCTCCTGCCTCAGTCTGCTGAGTAGTTGGGATTACAGGGATGTGCCACCATGCCTGGCTAATTTTTGTATTTTTAGTAAAGACAAGATTTCACCATGTTGGCCAGGCTAGTCTCAACTCCTGACCTCGAGTGATCCACCTGCCTCGACCTCCCAAAGTGCTGGGATTATAGGCATGAGCCATCGGGTCTGGCTGTCGTCCTTATTTATATTTCTCTGCAAAGGTTCGTTTTTCTCTGGCTGCTTTTAAGATCTTCTCTTTATTACTGGTTCTAGGAGTGAGGTCTGTGGCTTGGGCCTTACGAAATCAGAATCATCTCACATCTTCTGGTCACAGTGCAGGAGTAGATATGAAACCTAGTTTGAGTCAACAAGACTGGAGAAGACATTTGCTGGAAGCTCCAACGAGGGAACCTTATGTCTTTTCTTATTTCTAGATGTGATAATCTGATATTAATTCTGGAATAGCTACAACCTGTTGGCTATCACGAGGCTAAGCTGGTCTTTGAATAAATTTGACATCATTGGAGACAGAAAAGAGAGAAGAAAAAATACCCATAACCAGGTTCTTGATAAGGTTGCTGAGCCATGCAGGAAGCACCACTGGAGGGTACACAGTTATGAGAGACAGTGGGTTTTCATTTTCTATTACAGTCACGAGTCACTTAATGATGGGGATACTTTCTGAGAAATGCATTGTTAGGTGATTTTGTTTTTGTGCAAACGTCGCAGAGTGAACTTACACAAACCTAGATGGTAGAGCCTACTGCACTCTGGGGCTGCTATAGCCTGTCGTCCCTAGCTACAAACCTGTAAAGCAGGTTACTATACTGAATACTGCAGGCAATTGTGATACTAAGGTATATATTTGTGTATCTTTTTGTTTGTTTGTTTGTTTGTTTGAGAGAGAGTCTCACTCTGTTGCCCAGGCTGGAGTGCAACGGTGTAATCTTGGCTCACTGCAACCTCCGCTTCCCAGGTTCGAGCGATTCTCCTGCCTCAGCCTCTCAAGTAGATGGGATTACAAGCATGCGCCACCACACCTGGCTAACTTTGTATTTTTAGTAGAGTCGGGGTTTCACCATGTTGGTCAGGCTGGTGTGGAACTTCTGACCGCAGATGATCCACCCGCCTTGGCCTCCCAAAGTGCTGGGATTGCAGATGTGAACCACTGCGCCTGGCCGTATTTGTGTGTCTAAACATGGAAAAGGTATGGTAAAAATATGGTATTATAATCTTATGGAACCACTGTCGTGTATATGCAGTCTGTTGTTGATGAAAACATTGTTATGCGGTGCATGGCTATATTTACAATTTAGTTTCGAGTGATGCATTTGCTGATATGGTGCTTGATAATCCTACTGCCCTGAGATAACAGATTTCTTTTCATCCTTACCTTCATATCAATAGGCTAGCTCTGAAGGTATGTTCATCAACATCGTAGAAGAAGAGGACACGTGTTTCGCACTGCACTCTTTAAGAGGAGAAACGGAAATAACAGGGAAAAGTTTTTAAAACTTCAGCAGGTTTCCCTTTGCAGTTTCTGACTTAGCCAGAAGACATCAGGCAAAAGGAACATCTCCATGTGAGCCAACATTTCAGAAAGGCTTCAGGGGTGTTGGAGAATGAATGCAGTGATTTTCTGAAGAAAAGTAGGGGAGTATTCAAATTAATAAAGAGAACCAATGTTATTTTATCTTATCTACTTGTTTATCTCCTGTAGGGAAATCTTTTTCAGATAATATTTATGGAACAGAAAACATGTATTTACTTGAAACTCTGCTGTCATGTTGAATATTGATTCTGGAGTCCATTTTCCATTGAAAAGATTTTGATACTAATATGCTATACAAACAGAATTTTGGTGGAGAGGGTGTCTTAGTCTGTTTTGTGTTGCTGTAACCTGAGAATACCTGAGACTGGTCTTTCTTTCTTTCTTTCTTTCTTTCTTTCTTTCTTTCTTTCTTTCTTTCTTTCTTCCTTCCTTCCTTTTCTTTCTTTCTTTCTTTCTTTTTCTTTCTTTGTTTCTTTCTTTGCTTTCTTTCTTTCCTTTCTTTCTTTCTTTCTTTGCTTTTTTCCTTCCTTCCTTCCTTCCTTCCTTCCTTCCTTCCTTCCTTCCTTCCTTTCTCTCTCTCTCCCTCTCTCTCTCTCTTTTTTTTTTTTTTTGACAGAGTCTCGCTCTGTGGCCAGGATGGAGTGCAGTGGCGCGATCTCTGCTCACTGCAACCTCCAACTCCTGGGTTCAAGTGATTCTCCTGCCTCAGCCTCCGAGTAGCTGGGATTACAGGTGTGCGCCACCATGCCCCGCTGGAGACTGAATCATTTATAAAGAAAAAGTTTTATTTGCCTCACAGTTCTGGTGTCTGGAAAGTTCAAGATTGGGCATCTACACTGGGAAAGGTCTTAGGCTGCTTCTGCTCCTGGTGGGAGGTGAAGGGGGGCTGTTGTGTGCAGAGGTCACATGGTGAGAGAGGAAGAAAGGGTGGGGGGAGATGCCAGGCTCTTTTTAACAACCAGCTCTCACGGGAATGAATAGAATGAGCACTCACTCACCCCCCTCACCCAGGGAGGGCAATCATCTATTCATGAAGGATCCACCCTCATGACACAAACACCTCTTATTAGGTCTACCTCCAACACTGGGAATCACAGTCCAACATGAGATTTGCTTGGGATAAACAACTGTTAGAGGTGTTTGAACCAGAGCAACTCCATCTTGAATAGGGGCTGGATAGACTAAGGCTGAGACCTACTGGGCTGCATTCCCACATGGTTAAGGCATTCTAAGTCACAAGATGAGACAGGAGTTTGGCACAAGATACAGGTCATAAAGACCTTGCTGATAAAACAGGTTGCAGTAAAGAAGCCGGCTAAAACCCACCAAAACCAAAATAGAGACAAGAGTGACCTCTGGTTGTCCTCACTGCTACACTCCCACCGCTGCCATGACAGTTTACAAATGCCATGGCAACATCGGGAAGTTACCCTATATGGTCTCAAAAGGGGAGGCATGAATAATCCACCCCTTGTTTAGCGTATCATCAAGGAATAACCATAAAAATAGGTAACCAGCAGCCCTCGGAACTGCTCTGTCTATGGAGTAGCCATTCTTTTATCCCTTTACTTTCCTAATAAACTTGTTTCACTTTACTTTACAGACTCGTCCTGAATTCTTTTTTGCATGAGATCCAAGAACCCTCTCTTGTGGTCTGGAGCAGGACCCCTTTGTGGTAACAAAACCATATCCAAACGATAGCCGAGGGTGTCATTTTAGTAGGAGTGTGGGTGATTGATACAGTTAGGATGCTGCCCTAACAAGGGCAAAAATCGCAGCAAATGGGAGGGTTATTTCTGTCTCATATGCAGTCTGAGTGTGTGCACTGCTGCTGGGGCACCTCATGGGGTCAGACTCCCAGCCTCCTTGGATTTTTTTTTCCCTCTCAGGCTTCATGTGTGACTTCTATCCTCCCGGTGGTTCTAGCTCACGAGAGCAAGAGCACGCAGCCACCAGTGAGAGGAGATGAAGGAGGGTGTGCACATTCTCTTCAAGGGCACACCCTGGGCGTCACACACGTCCCTTCTGCTCATATCTCTGTAAACCAAACATAAAATTCTAAGCCCCCAACTGACTAAATGAGCCCCTTTTTGGCCAAGGGCATCCCCAAGAAACTGAAAAACTAGTTCAGGTCATGACAAGAAGTGGGGGGGTTGACACGCCTCATTGTAATCCCTTCCTTTGGAATTCAGGCATCAACTGACCAGGATTACATTAAAATAGAGATCATAAGACCTAAGAAACAGATGCTTTAGCAACAAGATACCCAATCCCAGCTTGATTCTGGTATAGCATCACATGACATATAACAGGCCAAGAAGGAAATAAAATTATTTTACCCCAAAATATTTTTTGACATATTTTGAAGTGGCCCTGCAAAGCTGTCTCTTAATTTTCATACTGGAGGAATCTCCCTTCTCTTAATGGGTCTTTTCCAGAGAGTCTGACGTCTGTTAAGTTCCAATAAGATATATGTGCTCTCTATTCTCTCTGAAGCCTGCTATCTGGAAGCTTCGTGTACATGACAAGGACAGTGTCTTCCACAACCCCACTCCCCTTATCTTAACTCAAGCATTTCTTTTTACTGACTTCAACTCCTCAGGCAAAGCTTAACTCTTTCAACCAATTGCCAATCGGAAAACTTTTGAATCAACTATGACCTGGAAGCCTCCCACTTTGACATGTCCCACCTCTCTAGGCTGAACCAATGTATACCTTACATGTATTGCTTTATGTCTTCGCCTATAATTTCTGTCTCCTTAAAATGCATTAATATCAAACCCAGCTGTAACTCAACCACCTTGGTCACATGTTCTCAGGAACTCCTGATGCTGTATCACAGGTCATGGTCTTTAATCTTGGCAATATAAACCTCTGAATGGATTTAGACCTGTCTCAGATACTTTTTGGTTTACATCTCATCCAAATTTAGTCACATGACCACACTTAGCTGCAAGGGAGGCTAGAAAGTGTTGTCTTTAGCTAGGGGCAGAAATGTGTTGGGTTAAAATTTGGGGATTTTATTACTGATGGTGGAAGGGAAGAATGGATCTACAGGACCATAGAAATCTCTGTCATAATGGCTTATTTGTGTAGTTGTTTTAAATTCCCAGTCTGATAATTCCAACATGGTAGTATCCGAGTCTGGTTACAATGCTTGCTTTGCCTCTTTAATCTGTGTTTTTTTGCCATTTAGCATGCCTTGTAATTTTTTGTTGAAAGCTGGACCTGATATACAGCATAAAAGGAACCAAGGTAAATAGGCCTTTAGTGTGAGCCTTTATGTTTACCTGGTTAGGAGTTAGGCTGTGTTTGCTATTTGCTGTAGCTGTAGATGTCAGAGGCTAAAATTCCCTCTAGTGTCTTTGTTTTTGTCTCCCCTCTCATCTTTGGGCTTCCCTAGAGACTGCTTCTTAAAGAGGGACTGAAATGTGCAGTTGTTTCCACTGTAGTCCCCTGTGAGCGCACAACAGCCCCACTGATGTGGTGGTAAGGTGCAGGGGGAGGGGAACCATTCCATAGTCTTATGATTAGGTTCAGCCTTCAGCAAGCCTGTACCCCTGGGCTGTGACCTTCACAAGTGCTTTTCATTCGCCTCCTCCCTTAGATGAGACAAGAAGGGCAGAGAGGCTAGAGCTGGTTATTTCCCTTCTTTCAGGTTGGTTAGACACTGGTAAAATTTAGGTTGGTTAGACTATGGTAAAATTTAAGATAGTGAGGAAAATACTGTTTCTTGAGGGCAGGCCTTGTTGGACAAGTACTGAATGCTCTGGCATATTTCAGAATGGTACCTGTCAGGCCTCTGAGCCCAAGTTAAGCCATCATATCCCCTGTGACCTGCACGTATACATCCAGATGGCCTGAAGCAACTGAAGATCCACAAAAGAAGTGAAAATAGCCTTAACTGATGACATTCCACCATTGTGATTTGTTCCTGCCCCACCCTAACTGATACGATATGTTCTCCCCTGACCTTAAGAAGGTACTTTGTAATATTCTCCCCACCCTTGTGAATGTACTTTGTATGCCTATCCCAAATCTATAAGAACTAATGATAATCCCACCACCCTTTGCTGAATCCTTTTTCGGACTCAGCCCGCCCGCACCTAGGTGAAATAAACAGCCTTGTTGCTCACACAAAGCCTGTTGGTGGACTCTCTTCACACGGATGCGTGTGACAGTACCTTTTCTCTTTCCCCCGTCAAAAGCACAAGGAAGTTTTTCTCCCATCTTCACTGTGAAGACCTCATTGAGTTCCTGGAGGGAAAGGTCATGAAAGTGGGGACCCCCTGTGACTGGGTTGCTCCCCTGAAATTTTTATCTCTCAGAAGTGTCCACACTGAGCCTCCAGCAATTTGTCAGTTCCAGTTTAGGTTTTCCTGCCCCTCTGCTGGTTCCAGTAGCAGGGTTTGTTCCTGGGTTTCTGGTCCAGGAGGTTATGATTTCCCTGTATCAGCCTGTCTGCCTCTCCAATATTGGGGACAGTGAGCTACCCTGTAATCTTACTTACTTCTACAGACCTAAGAAGAGTTATTGACTTTCAGTTTGTTCAGATTTTCAACCCACAGCAAATTAATTGATTATGCACGTTGGGAGCCAGCCAACACAACCCCTCCATGAAAATCACTGGCAGGAATTCATCATTTAGCTGAAGGAATACCAGCGAGTAAAAACTGAAACCAACTCACGATAGTTCTGGTGATGCATCAGGAACAGCAGCCTTCCTGGGAGCTATGCAAATTTTACGTTCTCGATAGAATACCAAAGTGGAGTCTTCCATAAACTTTAGTAATATGCTAATTTTGGTTTTTGAAAACAAAAATTCAGGGTCCCCTGATAACTCACTTAGTAGAATACTAAAGTCACCATAAAGACTTCAGGAGGATCCTTCTGGGCTGATGACCCTTCTTTGAGCATCAAGAATAAGATAAGCAATATTTAAATATTTTGGCCTCAGGATCTCCTTTTTAAAAAGTTGAGGCGAAATTCACATAACACACAATTAACCATGATAAAGTATACAATCCAGTGGCTGTTCGTGTATTCAACATGTTGTGCAACTACCTCCTCCCTCTAGTTTCAAAACTTTTTTACCACCCCAGAAAAATCCCCTGGCAAACACTTATCTGCTTTCTGTCTCCATGGAATTGCCTATTCTAGATATTTCATGTTAAATGAGTCATACAGTAGTGATCTTTTGTGTCTGGCTTCCTTCACTCAGCATAATGTTTTTGAGGTTCATCTAAATGGCAGCATGGATCAATACTTCATCCCTTCCTGTGGCTAATACTCCACTGGCAGGGATATGCCATGATTTGCTTATCAATTCTTTTTTTTTTTTTTTTTTGGAGAGAAGAGTCCCTCTGTCGCCCAGGCTGGAGTGCAGTGGCACCATCTTGGCTCACTGCAACCTCTGCCTCCCAGGTTCAAGGGATTCTCGTGCCTCAGCCTCCCACGCAGCTGGGATTATAGATGCGCGCCACTATGACCAGCTAATTTTTTGTATTTTTAGTAGAGACAGTGGAGATGAGGTTTCACCATGTTGGCCAGGCTGGTCTCCAACTCCTGGCCTCAAATGATCTGCCCACCTTGGCATCCCAAAGTGCTGGGATTACAGGCATGAGCCACCATGCCCGGCCTTTATCCATCCCTTTGTTGTTGGGTATTTGGGTGTTTCTACCTCTTGGTGAGTATGAATAATGCTGTTATAAAGAGTCGTGTACAAGTTTGTATTTAGACACGTTTTTGTCTTTCTTGGGTGTGTACCTAGGAATACAATTGCTGGGTTATAGGACAAATTTATGTTTAGCTTTTTGAGGAACTGCCAAAACAGACTCTGTTTTGCACAGTGGCTGCACATTTTGACATTCCTACCAGCCATCTGTGAGCATTCCTATTCTTTTTCTTAAAGTCATCTTAATGGGTATGAAGTAGTATCTCATTGTGGTTTTGATTCGCATTTCTGAAATGACCAGTGATGTTGATGTGCTTGTTGGCCATTTCACAGGATCTTTGCATGTTATTTAAAACTATTAAAAACTATAGAGGATACCAGGCTGGGTGCCGTGGCTCACGCCTGTAATCCCACCACTTTGGGAGGCTGAGTTGGGTGGATCACTTGAGGTGAGGAGTTCGAGACCAGCCTGGCCAACATGGTGAAACCCCGTCTCTGCTAAAAATACAAAAATTAGCTGGACTTGGTGGTGGGTGCCTGTAGTCCCAGCTACTTGGGAGGCTGAGGCAAGAGAATCACTTGAACCCAGCAGGCAGAAGCTGCAGTGAGCCGAGATTGTGCACTGCACTCCAGCCTGGGCAACGGAGCAACACTCCATCTCAAAAAAAAAAAAAACAAAAAAACAAAAAAAAAGCACCAAAAAACTATAAAGGTTTTTGGTTATGTAGATTATAGCTAGCAATATTTATCATATTTATAATAAAAACCAAGACTTTTTAAAAAATATCATTTATTCTTTTATAAACAATAGCAATAAATTTATTATATGTTAACAGCAGAGTGATGACATCATCACGTATCACATAGCTTCTGGAAAATTCCACCATACACTTTTGAGAGAAGGACAGATAAATGGTCGATAACATCTTAGTATTATCATGGAAAAGTTTTGATCTTATAGACCCCTCAACACCCAAAAGTCGTAATCAGTTCTACTCAAGTAAGATTTAAATATATATCTATATTTTCTGGTCTGAGATTCTTTTCAACTTTACTCAGAAAACATATACCTGAAGGGGGAGGGGGAGAGTGCACAGATGAGTCTGTTTGTATGTGGTTGGTCACAGAAATGACAGAAAATAGTTATTTAATCTGAATCTGGACCCTGCTGAAAACTGCCGTGATTTCTCATAACACTCTCCTGCCCCTTCAGAAGTGAAAACTGGCTGATAGTTTCCCAAATGAATAATTTTCGTTAATGTTAATCGTGTGATGTTGTTGAGCTAGAATGTTGACTCAACTGATTCGTGAGGGGAGATCTTGCACCAGATATGGAACCAGGACTTCCACCGAAATCTTAGCTCTGGAAGTTGATTTTTTTCGTGGGAGTTGAGAGTGGGTGGGCGTGCAGAGCAATAACACAATGGTTCTCAAAGTGTGTTCCTGGAATAGTAGCAGCAGCAACAGCACCTGGGAATTGTTAGACACACAAAACATTTGGCTCTATTCCAGACCAACAACTCAGAGACTCTGAAGATGGGCCCAGCGAACTCTTTTAACAAGGCCTCCCGGTGATTCTAATATGCTGAACTTTTTGATAATGTTCAAGGACTGCTGGTATGCTCATCTTGTCTTTTTTTCCTTAAAGACAGGATCTTGCTCTGTTGCCCAGGCTGGAGTGCAGTGGTGCCATCATGACTGACTGCAGCCTCGAACTCCTGGGCTCAAGCAATCCTCCTGCCTCAGCCTCCTGAGTGGCTAGGACTACAGGCGTATGCCACCACATCCAGCCAATTTCTAATTTTTTGTAGGGATGTGTCTTGCTATGCTGCCCAGGCTGGTCTCAAACTCCTGGCCTCAAGAGATGCTCCCGCCTTGGTCTCCTAGGGAGCTGGGGTTATAGGCCTGAGCCACCGTGCCAGGCCTGATGCGCTCTTTTCCGTGGTTACGTTCTACCAGTGTGACCTCCATCCCTTCTCCCTCTTCACTTCCTTCTTTCTTTCCTTCCTTGCATAAACATTGAATGTACGGATCCCTTTTTGGTGTTTTTAGACACTTCTCAGGAAACGTACGCATTGATTTGCACCTTGTGTGTCCACCTGTAAACATCAAATTAGTGCAGGCCAAATTCAGGGTATCATTCATAGCAATCCCAAAGAAACTAACTCTTAAAGAGGCCAATTAGTAACGCACAGGTAAAACTTTGCTAAGTATGATTCTCTGCCTGGGACCTCATTCATCCTTCTGTTCCTGACATTGCCTCATGGGTTTGGCTGCCCCGTTTTGAAGTTACCCAAAGATTATTCTGCCATGGCCTCTGTTTTTTAGAAATTCAAGACTGAAGGCTCAGTAGAAGGGGGTTAGCTTAGAGGATTGAGCCAAGGGTAAAATGATTTCTGGGTAGCAGCCCAGAGTTCTTGAAGGATGTTTATTAGGCAACGTGAACGGGAGAATCAGCAGTCAGAAGCGGCTGAGAAAGGAACCACGCAGACAATGTCCAGTTGTATAGGGTAGAGTGTGTGTGTTGTGTATTTACGTTAGTGCTGGGGCTTTCCTTGGGACTCCTGAACTGGGAAGTTGGAATGAGATGAATGTAAACCTACTTTTCTTTATACTACATATAGGGTGGAGAGAGTTCCATACCATTCATGCTTTAATGAACACATATACATGAAAATAAGATGGAGAGTTCTAGTGGTTTTGCCCTTCCTCTTCAACGGCGAAATTGCTATTTAGAAGTGGGTAGCGCTCGCTCTCTGATGGGACTGAGCTGGCATAGAGACAAGGTTGCCACTGCCCCGTGTCCTGTGATGTGACTTCAGAGCTTCCAAAACGCAGGCAAGCACAACGGATGTCTCCTGGGCGACCATTTAGCACCTTTGATTTCACTTGGGCTTCATGACTTCTGTTGTCTGTTCCCGGCTTCTTACCAAGAA
The DNA here is from genome assembly GCF_000001405.40 of Homo sapiens. Taxonomy (NCBI): domain Eukaryota; kingdom Metazoa; phylum Chordata; class Mammalia; order Primates; family Hominidae; genus Homo; species Homo sapiens. Next base: position 6,012,852 of record NC_000010.11, read on the forward strand.
ATTCTTGTTCTTTTGGTTTTCTAGATTGTTCTTCTACTCTTCCTCCTGTAGTGGTGTAACAAAGTCACGGTCATATGTGTAACACGGCACCAAAAAAATGTGGTCCTCACTCTAAACCAGTGCACACGCCACCATGCCTGGCTAATTTTTGTATTTTTAGTAGAGATGGGGTTTTGCTATGTTGGCCAGGCTGGTCTCGAACTCCTGACCTTGTGATCTGCCTGCCTCGGCCTTCCAAAGTGCTGGGATTACAGGTGTGAGCCACTGTGCCTGGCCTAAGTTTTTATATGGCAGACAATAGCTGTGGAACAGGAATAATAAACAGCAACTAACTGTGCTAAATGATGTGCATGCAGTAAAGCACTTGGTTTCTAGCCAGCACTGTGCTATAGAACTTTCTGAGATGATGGAAATCTTTTGCAGTTGTGCTGTCCGATAACACAGACACCTGTGGCTAGGGAACGCTTGAAATGTGGCTAGTGCAACCGAGGAACTGAATTTTTAATTGTATTTAATTTATTTGAGTTTAAATACACTTAAGTATCCACAGGTGGCTAGTGGCTACTGTATTGGACAATACGGTCTTAGCCTTTTCCCAGTTCTTATTTGGCTCATGGGAATTTCTAATTACTCCCTACTTTGCACAGAGTTCCCATAGCACAAGACTCCAAGCAGAGGTGTGCTGGTGATGTTTAACAAGCAGCTCTCTGATGACGGTTGCCTGTCTTCCCTGGTGTCAATCCTCCCTCCACACACAGCTTCCAGCTGGCAATGTGACATCACTGATCACGCGGTTGGGAAGAGATGCGCGGTAGCCACCGTCAAACGGTATTTCCACCATGCGGACACAATAGATGTAAACCACCCAGCGAACAAAGATAACAGTAAAAGGTAGCAAATAATTAGGAAGTGATCAGTTGTAAGTAATTCTTGCCTTTGTTTTTAATATAATTTATTAAATTGTAAATTTAAATATTTTAATTTTTTTTTTTTTTTTTGAGACAGCGTCTCAATCTGTCACCCAGGCTGCAGTGCAGTGGCATGGTCACAGCTCACTGCAATCTTGAACTGCTGGACTCAAGGGATTCTCCCACCTCGCCCTTACCAGTAGCTGGGACTACAGGTATGTGCCACCTCGCCTAGCTAAGTTTAAAATGTTTTTGTAGAGACAAGGTCTCACTTTGTTGCCCAGGCTGGTCTCAAGCGAGCCTCTCACCTTAGTCTCCCGAAGTGCAGGAATTACAGGCAGGAGCTACTGCTCCCAGCCTAAATACTTTAATTTTCCATAATGGCTATGCTTAAAAACCAGTTTGCAGAAGTCCCGAAAATTTAACCGCTGGCTCTCACAAGCCACTGTGAGCCTTCTGTAGCACATCACGGGCTCCTGGTCATTGCCCGAAACAAACAAAAAATATTTCCCCAACCAAAACTCTCTGGCTGGGCTACAGTGATCTTTCGGTAATTCAAATGCAGCATTTCTGTTGCCACAAGAGGGCACCATGGGTTGATATCAGATTCTAGGAAGGCTTTTGGACAAACTGACTAGAGGGGTCATTTCTAGATGTATGTTTGAGTCTCCCCAAAGATTGTAGTTCTGGGAGACCTTGTGGGAACTCACATAGGTTCACACAGTTATTTGTTTCACAACATAAACACTGAACCATTCCTACTTCCAAATAGCTTTGTCCTCTGGGCCCGAAGGCTTTTGATCTTCAAACTAACAAATGAAAAAAATCCTTGCAAGGTGTTAAGGCTTGTCAGGTGTTCAGCCTGAGGAAGGAGAGGATGCAAGTACTGAGTACACGTACAACATGTCAGCCACGTCACATCCTTCCCCTCCTGGAAGCCTAAAATGACACCTTAGGAGTCAGCTAACCCCTTAGAGAAACTGGTAGACTGCCGGGTATATGAATCATTCCTGCTACAATAACCCTAGGGGGCTTATCATTTGCACTGCAGTAATTTATACTTTTTAATTCCCATGAGGAAAATTAGGAGTATGTTATGGACCTGATGACCCATATAAGAAGGGAAGAGATATTTTATTTTTCTCTCTGGCTGGGCTAAGGGCTTTGGTTTTGGGGGAGTGGATCTGTATTTTCTCAGGGTCTTACTGTGGAGTTTGTATCAGGGTTGGCCAGAGTGGATGCTGGCAGGGGTCAGGGAGGCCCTGGATAATCAAGAGAGAGACAGAGGGAGTTTCTAGAGTTTACTTTTTCTTTTTCTTTCTTTTCTTTTTTCTTTCTTTCTTTTTTTTTTTAAACAGAGTCTTGCTGTGTCACCCAGGGTGGAGTGCAGTGGTACGATCTCAGCTCACTGCAGCCTCTGCCTCCTGGGTTCAAGCGATTCTCCTGCATCAGCCTCCCGAGTAGCTAAGATTATAGGTGCGCACCATGACAGCCAGCTAATTTTTGTATTTTTAGAAGAGACAGGGTTTCTCCATGTTGGCCAGGCTGGTCTCAAACTCCTGACCTCAAGTAATCCGCCTGCCTCGGCCTCCCAAAGTGCTGGGATTACAAGCGTGAGTCTGGCCAGCTTCCCTGATTCTTAATGCTGTTAGCCTAGTGCGGTGATCCTCAGAGTCTGCTCCCTGGAACGGCAGCGTCAGTATCACCTGGGAACCTGATAGAAATACAGATTCCTGGACCTAAGCAAGACGACTGCGTCAGAAACTCCACAGGTGGGACCCAGCAATCTGTGCTTTAACAAGGCCTCCAGATGATTCTTTCAACAAATGTTTTTAAGTTGACACATAATAGTTATATATATTTATGAGGTATGTAGGGATGCTTTGATACCTACAAGGTACAGTGATCAGATCATGGTATTTAGCATATCCATCATCTCAAACATTTATCGTTTCTTTATGTTCCTACAGATGATTCTGGTGCTAGTTCAAGTTTGAAAACCAATGGCCGGGTGTAGGGTTGTCAAACCTGGATGCATATGTATTAGATACATCTGAGGGGCTTTAAAACGTACGACTATCCCAGACATAAAAGGCCACGTGATTCCATTTACACGAAATGTCCAGAATAGGCAAATCCATAGAGACGGAACATAGAGTGGTGGTTTCCCGGGGCTGGGGAGAATGGGGAACTTGGCAGTGTGGGGCTTCTCTTGGGAATGATGGAAGTATTCTGGAATCAGTGGGGATGGCTGTACAACATTGCAAACATACTAAATACCACTTACTGTGGTTTGAATACATCCCCCAGAGCTCAGGTGTTGGAAACTTAATCCCTAATCCAGCAATGTTGACAGGTGAGATCTTGAAGAGGTGATCAGGTCGCGAGGGCTCTGCCTCATGAATGGATTAATGTTGTTATTGCAGGAGTGGGTTTGTGATAAAAGCTGAGTTCAGCCCCTCCTGCTGTCTCTCACTCTCTTGCCCTTCTGCCTTCTGCCACAGGATGACGTAGCACAAACGCCCTTGATACATGGGGGCCCCTCGACCTCAGACTTCCCAGCCTCCAGAATGGTAAGAAATCTCTGTTCTTTATAAGTTATAAATCTCTGTTCTTTATAAATCTCTGTTCTTTATAAGTTACCCAGTCTCAGGCATTCTGTTACAGTAGCACAAAATGGGCTAAGACACCACTGAACTGTACATTTTATGATGGTTAAATGATGAATTTTATCTCAATTAAAAATACGTACTGATGTCTTGGGCTCACCCCAGACATTCTGACTGGAGCCCAATCATTGATATCTTTTACCTTTTTCTTTTTTTTTTTTGAGACAGAGTTTCACTCTTGTTGCCCAGGCTGGAGTGTAGTGGCGCGATCTTGGCTCACTGCAACCTCCGCCTCCTGGGTTCAAGTGATTCTCCTGTCTCAGCCTCGCAAGTAGCTGGGATTACAGGCACCCACCACCACGCCTGGCTTATTTTTGTATTTTTTAGTAGAAACAGGGTTTCAGCATGTTGTCCAGCCTGGTCCTGAACTCCTGACCTCAGGTAACCACCTGCCTCAGCCTCCCAAAGTGCTGGGATTACAGGCATGAGCCACAACTCCTGGGCTATCTTTTAACTTTTTAAATTATTATGCTGTTTTGGCTGAACAACCTACATAAGCTACAAAAATATTTCCTATTGCAACAAATTTGTTCTTCTATTGTTGCAAATGAAGATTCCCCCCAAATTCAAAGTGGGTCACAATGGTTTTGGTGACAGGATTTCCCTCTTGTAAACCTCTCTTAAAAGATGTCACAGCTATGAATAACACTGAGCCACAGGAGAAGCACAGCCCTTTGGACTGCCTTCCTTTTCCTGTGGAATTTACTCATATCTTGCCACTCACTGGTATTTTAGAAGACTGTCTCCTGGATGTTCTAAGATGCATGCAGGGTTGAAAATCTGAGTTAATGCAAAAAGACCACACATGGTTTACATTCCTGGTCAAGGGGATGCCGGTGTGAGCTTCTGTGGACGGGAGGGTGGGGAGCACAGGATAGGCAAAGCTCAGCATAGATGCTGCCCTGGGTCCTCTATAGGTAGGGGCTGGGTGGGAAAATCATGGGCTCTAGATTCATGTTGCAGTGCTGGCCTCTGCTGTGCCATCTTCTCCAAGCTGTTGCATCTCTCTAGGCCACAGCTATTCCAAAGGTTTCTGAGAAGGTAGATTTCAATAATGTTTATAAAACAAGCATCAAGCCTGGTGTATAGTGGGTGCTCAATGAATGTGAGGCTCCTTTGCCTTCCCATTTCCCTGGTCGTTTAATTTTTTTTTTTTTTTTTTTTTGAGACAGAGTCTTGCTCTGTCACCCAGGCTGGAGTGCAGTGGTGAGATTTCTGTTCACTGCAACCTCCGCCTCCCAGGTTCAAGCAATCTTCCTGCCTCAGCCGCCCAAGTAGCTGGGATTACAGGCACCTGCCACCATGCCCAACTGATTTTTTGTATTTTTAGTAGAGATGGGGTTTTGCCATGTTGGCCAGGCTTGTCTCAAACTCCTGACCTCAGGTGATCCACTCAGCCTTGGCCTCCCAAAGTGTTGTGATTACCAGCGTGAGCCACTGCACCCGGCGGTGCTTTAATTCTTTTTAACTGACTCTTTCCGAGGCATGGATTGGCCTCTCCCTTTGCCACTCCCTGAACTGCAGGTGATTAGAGAGAGCATGGAGGGGGTAGGGGGGAGGCAGGGTGGGGCTGGGTACAGGACTTTGATCTGACCAAGGGCTGCCTTGGTGATGCCACACTTACTGTCTCCGCTGCCAGGTGAGCCCACTCAGGAGGAGGACGCTGATCAGCAGGAAAACACAGCCGGCCACTGTCAATAGAGAGAGGGAGTTCAGCAAAGGGCCCTGGGCTTGGCATGGGGGCAGCAGGAGCCAGGGCCACAGGGCAGGCTGAGGACATCCCCAAAGAGCAAGGCGGAGGCTGCAGCCTCTCTTCCCTGTCTCAGGAAGTAGGTCCCTCCCCATGGGATTTCCTAGGAGTCTTGAGGAACAGGGCAGGGAGGACAGGGTGAGGGTGGAGGGAGCTTCCCCTCAGGAGGCACCCTTCTCTCACAAAAGCCCCTCAGAAAGGCTCAGAGGCCAGGCCTCGTTTAAGGACACCGAGAGCGCCTGGTAAAAGAAATGTTGAAATATGAAGATGATGAGAAGCACATTAACATCTCCTGAAAGAGGTCGGGTTTTCCAGATGCTGCTCTGCTGAGGTTTTGGAGGCTGACATTTGTTTACTTTCTAGGCAGATGCAGACTCAGAGTCTGTTTTTCCCTCCTACCAGGAAACAATGGCAGTGTTTCTGGAAGCCTGTCCTCTCTGACTGGCTACGTGGCTCCTTCCTCCCACTCTTGACCCCTGGCAGAGGCCCGGGGTACAGCCCTTCCAGATCAGCTTGAGAGGAGCTGATAGGGCTGACTTGAGACTTTGCTCACAGCATCCTGTAACTGGTTCATGCGAATTCTGAGTTACGTCAGTATCTGGATTAGTCTTTCACTCACACATTCTGCAGTGTAAGGAAGGGGTCCTTTCAGTCAACCAACCAACCTACCAATCAACTAACCAACTAACAAACCTACTAACCTACCAACAAACTAACCAACCAACCAATCTACCAATCTATCTACCAACCAACTCACTAACCAACCAACCAGCTAACCAACCAAACTACCAACAAAACTACCAACCAACCTGCCAATCTACCACCCTAACAACCAACCTACCAACCAACCTATCAACTTATCAACCAACCCACCAACCAACCTATCAACTTACCAACCAACCTATCAACTTATCAACCAACCCACCAACCAACCTATCAACTTGCCAACCAACCTACCAACCAACTAACCAACTAACCCACCAACCTGCCAATCTACCAACCTACCAACCAATCAACTAACCTACCAACATACAAACCAACCTGCCAACCAAGCAACCAACCAACTAACCAACTAACCTCCCAACCTACGAACCAACTTACCAATCAACTAGCCAACCTACCTATCAACCTACCAGTCAACCAACTAACCAACCTACCAGCCAACCAACTAACCAACCTACTAACCAGTCAACCTGTCCATATCTCAGCCTGGTGTACATTTTGTCCACAAAGCCAGTGCCCCACTCACCTGCTACCTGGTACTCTGTTGTAAATATGGACGTCTCCATGGTTGCAGCCATTTCTGTCTGTATTTGAAAATCTGTGAAAAAGAGATAAAGAGAGACACTCCTGCTACCGTGACTTTAGGACAGCACGAGGCTAAAGGAAGTCAGGGTGTCTCTGTGAATGAGAAGCTCAGAGGCTGGTGGGAGACACGTGGTGGTGGTGAGGGAAGGTGTTCCATCTCTGCCTGGGGACCGTGCTTGGTCCTGGTCCTGGGTTCCCTCTTTCTGACACTTGCTTTGGGGCCTGCAGGTTGCTGAGGCCCTGTCCCTGCTCAGAGGGAGAGGAGGCTGCTGTGGGCTTCTCCCCTACAGGTCACCTCCGCCTATCTCCCTGAGCCTGGCTCCTGGTCACCTCTGCCCTTTTGGACTAGGCCTCTGTGGTCCAGCGTTTGTCTTCTCCCGCACCTGTTGTTGTGACGAGGCAGGAAGTCTCACTCTCAGGACGGCCTTCGGGGCTTGCCTGAGGCTTCTCTTCACCTGGGGGAGAGAGTAAGTGATGCTGGTGGAGCTAAACACAGGAGTCAGGGCCTCACTCCCACCCCGCCTGCCCCAGGCAGCCGGCCCCAGACACGCCCGAGGAGGCAGGAATCCTGGTGTGGGCACTTCGCCAGGGATGCCACCCCTCATGGTTCCACAGCAGGGGCACTGGGAAGCGGTGAAGTGGTCTCAGCAGAGCAGACGAGGCTGAATTCTAACTCTGACCCTAGCTGTCCCCAAAACTCTGAGCAATGCTTTCTCCCCAGCCTCCCTCCCCAGTCCTGGTTTCCATCTGTGACTTGGAAACAGGTCATAATAATACGAATGCCATTGAACCACTGGATGGAGCAGAGATGCACTAAGGGACAGCTGCTTCTGTGCCAGGCTCTCCACTTCTCCTGAGGGGTCAGCAACCCTGGCTCTGCCCTGCCTCTCACCCTCTTCCAAGGAAGCAGCAAGCATTCCCTGGCTGTCAGGGTGGCCCAGGGAAGCAGCTAAGGGAACAAAACAGCCTCCCTAGGGAACCCAAGAGAAGGACATGGAGTATGAGAAGTGCAGTGAGCAAGAAAACCAGGAATACTTGTGGTTGAATGTAAGTCACTTTTTTTTTTTGAGACGGAGTCTTGCTGTTGCCCAGGCTGGAGTGCAGTGGTGTGATCTCAGCTCACTGCAACTCCACCTCCTGGGTTCAAGTGATTCTCCTGCCTCAGCCTCCCAAGTAGCTGGGATTACAGGCACCCACCACCACGCCCAGATAATTTTTGTATTTTTAGTAGAGACGGGGTTTCACCATGTTGGCCAGGCTGGTCTCGAACTCCTGACCTAAAGTGATCTGCCCGCCTTGGCCTCCCAGAGTGCTGGGATTACAGGTGTGAGCCACTGTGCCCAGCCTGCATGTAAGTCACTTTTGATTGTCGTGATACTAATAAGATTTCAGAAGGAAGACAGCAGGAGACCTCGACATCGGTGGGCTGAGCATTTGCATGAGTATGTGTGTGTGTGTGTGTGTGTGCGCGCATGTGCACTGAGTAAGTCCCGACTCTGCACATTTTATGTTTATTTTTACAAGCTCAGCTGGGGAATGGCACAAGGGGAAGGAACATGCTGACCGTGGAGGGCTGTTCAGATCATGCATTTACACGATCACCAGTAAGAGGAAAAATGTGTGAGTGGGAAACTGGACTTGCCCTTGGAGCCAGAGGAGGCCTTGGTGGCTTAGAGAAGTAGTGGACTTAGGACCAACTACGAGGCAGCATCTAGGGTGCTTAGGAGAGGGCTTTCCTTCTCTTCTGTCTCCAACCTTTCTCCCCACTCAGGGCACAGGGGGACCTTCATTGAAGGAGCCCTTAGAGTCCATCTGATCTGGTCTATTTAAATTTTTTTTTTTTTCTCAGAATGAGAAAAAATGGAAGCCCAGGGAGATCAAGGGTCTTGTCCAAGGACCACTCTTGTCCAGCAGGAGTGGTCAGGGATTCCACTCTGGTCAGCCTGATGGAGCAAAGCAACATTGTGGACCCCAGAAGGGAGCCACCCTACCTGGAAACTGACTGGTCTCCATTTCACCTGTGCATATGAGCTGGGGCTGGGTCCACCTTGTCTTCCCGTGGGTCATTTTGCAGACGCTCTCAGCAGGACCTCTGTGTAGAGCCCTGTATCCCTGGACGCACTGATAATAAACCATCTGCCCCACCACGAAATGATAAATTCTCTCTGTGGCTTCATTTTCCCATGGTGGAGGTTCCCTGCAGTGACCTGGAAGATGGAAGGAATGCTCTGAAGGCAAGTTGGGGACAGCACCGCGAGTGAGTCCAGGTTGCCTCTTGCTAGGGACTGGACCTTGGTTCTTACTCTCTTGACTGCTTGCTCATCCTTTCATTCAACCAATATATGTTGAGAACGTCTGAGCGTGGGGAAGTTTGCTAGGCCCTGTAGGAAGGCACGAAGACCCTGTCACTCCTGCAAGGGGTGGACAGTGGATTGGGTAAGAAAGGCATGTGAAGGATAGCAGACGTTGGCAATGGGAACACAGAGGAATGAGCGATTCATTCTGGTTGGTGCGGCCCCGAGACAGGAACGCCACAACTGCCTCTTGGAAGACAGTGCAGGTGTTGACAGTGGACAGGAGTGGGCGGGGCAGTCTCAGCTGAGACACAAGGGTAGGCTCAAGCCTATTTGGGCCAATGGAGCATGAAGACCACCTTGGATTTCTGCTGGACAAGTGAGGAAGTGCATTCTTGGGGGCAGCGGCTGGGCATCTTGGGATGATGTCGGAAGGATTGGGGACAACACCAAAGCCAGGAGGAGGGACGGGCTGAGGGAACCTCAGAGAAATGGAGCACCATCTCTGATCAAGCCACACCTGAAGGTTGACACACATGCGCCCTTTCAAGACGTCTCAAAATTTCCCATCCCCAGAACTTTCCACTCACCCAACTACATCCCAGGCCTGACGGACCTGTGGCCTGAGACCATGTCTTGTTCTGATTAAATCTCTGAATTCCCCACCCACAGCCCCCAACCTGGACATATGGAATTGTATGTGCCCTCTAACCCCAGCCTGTGAAACTGCGCACGTGCTCTGAACTTCCAGACTCTCCCCAACCCTGCATACCCAACAGAGCCTCTGTAAATATCCTCCAGAGCCTCTTCCCCAGCAGGAAGCTGGGTGGCCCTGTCCCAGGCTGGCTCCTGCCATGTGGCACCTTGAACATCACGACTGAACTTGTGTTTTGGTCTCAGGATAAAAGGTTGTTTGACAGCCAGTACAATTCGTAACTGTCTGAACATGTTTGAATTGGGTTTGCTTCTTTCCAATGAAAACACCCAAACTGAGACAATCTTTGAAACATCCCTCAGGCAGAGCCAGCCTTCGAGAAAGGACAACAAGCATTGGCCTCTTTGAAGCCTTCCAATAACTGTGCAGGGTGATATGGGGGAAGTAGAACAAAACAAACAAATGTGCTTGGAAACACCATTCCAGGACAAAGTCGGAAGGGGAAGGAGTAAGAGCATCATGTTGCAACTGTGCCCCTAGATTAGTCTGTTTTAAAAAATAAAATAATGGAAGCTGTAAGTAAATTCAAACTCTTTTAAAATAAGTAATCAGCAGAAAGTTTCCTCATCTAATCTGGGAGACCTGAGGTCTGATTCCAGCCCTACTATGTGAGCTTAACCAAATCTTTTTATCTTTTGTGCATCTCAGTTTCTTCAGTAAGTTGAAGTAACCCTTCCTGGTCCTGACTCATTGTATAGCCAGGCTCAAATGGGATGGTATCTGATACAGTTCTTTGTAAGGTTGTAAAATCAGCAAAGGGCTCTGAAGTCTCCTAAGGCTAGCCTGACCTTAGAAAGCTCAATTCTTCCTAGCAGGTTCTGTGGGTTTTTTTTCTTTTTTGTTTTGTTTTTTTGAGGGGGGACAGAGTCTTCCTCTGTCACTCAGGCTGGAGTGCAGTGATGCAATCTCTGCTCACTGCAACCTCCACCTCCTGATTTCAAGCAATTCTCATGCCTTGGCCTCCTGAGTAGCTGGGACTACAGGCATCCACCACCATGCCCAGCTTAATTTTTGTATGATTGTAGAGACAAGGTTTCACCATGTTGGCCAGGCTGGTCTCGAACTCCTGACCTCAAGTGATCTGCCTGCCTCAGACTCCCACAGTGCTGGGATTACAGGCGTGAGCCACTGCGCCCAGCCCATTTTCTTGACACCATAACTGAATCCCAATTCAGTCGTGGGAAAGCAGAGGGCAGACAAGGGACAGCCACAGTGCCCACTCATGCACAGACTGCTGGCCAGGACACACGCATCTGGAGCTTTTGAGACTCACAAGTGTGGCATGCACATTTTACAACCTTGCCCTGGAAGAAATACTGGGAAGCAAGTAATTTTTTTGCGGTGCGTTGTCTTGTGCTTAAGGGGAAGACGCAGAGCGTTTCCTTGAGGGCAGGGATCGTTGTCACACTCTTGTTTGTGTCTTCTATCAGCAGGGCCTGGCACACAGACCCAACAGACGCTTTTAAGTTGAGTTGAATTTGGGTTGAATTCTATTTGGCCAGTTACCAAACCAGGGAGTAAGCCCAGACCTGGATTGGCTGCCGTCAGATTGGCTTTAGTTGCTGAGCAAACAGCCTCTGAGCAACTCTGCACTAATTCTTGTCTGCAATGATGTCTTGGGAGGACGGAGCCACATGCATGTGTTTATAGAAGGCAGGGCAGACCTTCTTCCTTTGGGTACACATCATCTGCCTGCAGGAGAAGGGTGCGCTAGCAGGAGTTAGCTGGAGGACAGATTCATCTCTCACCTGGAAGGCTCGCTTGGTCCACTGGCTGCATTGGACTTTGCATTTCTGTGGTTTTCCTTTCTTTCTGTTCTTCAGGTTGAGGTGTCACTTGTTTCGTTGTGTTCCGAGTGGCTAGAAAATATAGATGGAATGATGCAGATAATTTCACAAATGCTTCATAGAAAACACTGTTCATGTATTCATTCACTTGAGAAGCACACCTGTCCAGGGCCCACGATGTGTCTGGTGGTGTCTGGCTGCTGAGCTTACAAATACGAAACCAGAGTATGCCCTCCCAGCACCGGCCTCTGGGTATTCAAGTGCATATGGCAATGCCCACGACATGTTTTTGAGCGTGTGTATACGTGTCTGTGCATGTCATGTATGTTACGTGTCTGTGTATGCCATGTATGTTACGTGTCTGTGTATGTCATGTATGTTATGTGTGCATGTGTGTGTCTCTCACCAAAAGGGACTCCTTGCTTGCTGTCAATTGTCTCTGTGTTGTTTGACAGCAGCAGGAGTGGTCTCACTCCACAACACACTGATCCTTTGCTCCCTAAGGCTGTTCAGAATGCTTGAAGTTAGAGACGCCATCTTAACACAATGACAAGGAAACTTCTAGAACAGCCCTCTCTATTGTGAAGAGTTTGGCAAAGGAGTTGAGTCTGAGTGCCCCAGTGAGGGGGGTGATCAGTATTCCAGCTCAGGATAAAAGAGGGTGTCTAGGTCAGGTGTGGTGGCTCACACCTATAATTCCAGCACATTGGGAGGCTGAGGCAGGAGGACTGCTTGAGCCCAGGAGTTTAAGACCAGCCTGGACAACATGGGGAAACCCCATCACTAACAAAAAATACAAAATATTAGCCAGGCATGGTGGTGTGCGCCTATAAGGCCCAGGCAGGAGAATCACTTGAGGCCAGGAGTTCGAGACCAGCCTGGCCAACATGGCGAAACCCCATCTTTGCTAAAAATAAAAAAATTAGCCAGGCATGGTGGTGCACACCTGTAGTCCCAGCTACTTGGGCAGCTGTGGCACAAGATTCACTTGAACCCAGGAGGTGGAGGTTGCAGTGATCTGAGATTGTACCACCGCACCCCAGCCTGGGCAACAGAGCGAGACTGTCTCAAAAATAAAAATAAAATTGTGTGGCCGGGCACTGTGACTCATGCCTGTAATCCCAGCATTTTGGGTGGCTGAGATGGGCAGATTACTCAAGGTCAGGAGTTTGAGACCAGCCTGGCCAACATGGTGAAACCCCATCTCTACTAAAAATGCAAAAATTAGCCAGGCATGGTGGAGGGTGCCTGTAATCCCAGCTACTCAGGAGGCTGAGGCAGGAGAATCACTTGAAGCCAGGAGGCGGAAGTTGCAGTGAGCCGAGATCGCGTGCCATTGCACTCCAGCCTAGGCAACAGAGTGAGAGTCTGTCTCCAAAAAAAAAAAAAATTGTGTTTAGTGAATGACTTTTCAGGAACCACTAAAATTAGTTATCCTGTAGACTGGACTGGCCCATTTGTGTCTATAGGGCTGAGTGAACAAAAGCTGGGCTCTGTCTCACTCTTTGCTGCAGTTCTTTTGTTCTTGGTAGTCACAGAAGGGACACTTACCAGAGCTTGTGCATTGACATTGGTTGTCCCAGGACGAGTGGCTAGAGTTTCCTGTACAGAGCATATAGAGTGACCCGCTTTTTATTCTGCGGAAACCTCTCTTGCATTCACAGTTCAACATGGTTCCTTCCTTGTAGGCCATGGCTTTGAATGTGGCGTGTGGGATCTCTGGCGGGTCATCGTCACAGAGCTCTGCAAAGCAAAAGAAGCCTATTAGGAACTCAAGAGGCCCCAGGCAAGTACTCACATATTTAATCCTATAATGACTTAATCACATATTTCTTCACTTTATTTAAAAGATGGTATGCCCTACTTTTTGTGAGAAAGCAACTAAGGCTGCTACCATTGTTCTTTAGAAAGCTTTGTATCAGAGCTGGCTCAAAAATTAACTACAACCAAGCTCCTCTCCAAAGCACAATGTATTTCAAACTAGATGAGTAGAAATTAACAAGGTTTTATTCCGAATATGCCTCATGTCAAGCAAGTATGGAGAGAGGAGGGTCAAGGAATGTGAAGAAAGGAAGAAGCAAAGTTACGTACATTTAATTGAGGGGCAAAATATGTCTGTGCAAGATACTTTTAAGGATATACGAGTTGTTAGACTTTCTATAATTAATGACTGTGCGCCATTTTTTGAGAAATATACAGAAAGTGCTTCACTCAATGTCTGGCAAATAGGAAATGTGTATTTCTCACCCACCTGCCCACCTCTGAGTTCACCAAATACCTTCTTATATTATGAAGACCTTAGCCTCCCTCAGCCTGAAAAATGGACTCTGGTATCTCACTAAAGGCACCAGAAGCAGTGGTCAAACATCAAACTATTAAAAGGAAAAGTGGCACAGGTCTAATCAGAAAAATAATTCCATTGCCTACTTTGCAACAAGTTCTCTGCTCTAAGAGATTAGATTTTGGGGGGAAATATCACATGCTGGATAAAGGAAGTGGACGGGGAGATGACAGGGACAGGAAGAGGCAGGAAAGCAGGAGTCTGTGGCCTCTCCGTCAATGGAAGCCCACACGGAGGCTGATCAGGGCTGCTGGCTGTACTTATGGCTGTGGGTTGGCCGGTTGTGTATTGGTCATTCAGGTTAAGTGAAGCTTCTCTGTGCCCTTAGACTCTGCCCAGCACCTTGTCCTCCGGAAGACCATCCCCATCCAATGGCTCAGGACTCTCCTGTCTCCCCTAAGAACTGAAGGTAGGGAGGCTGGGTGCAATGGCTCATGCCTGTAATTCCAGCACTTTGGGAGGCCAAGGCGGGTAGATCACATGAGGTCAGCAGTTCAAAACCAGCCTGGCCAGCATGGTGAAAACCACAGTCTCTACTAAAAATACAAAAAAATTAGCCGGGCGTGGTGGCATGTGCCTGTGGTCCCAGTTACTTGGGAGGCTGAGGCAGGAGAATCACTTGAACCCAGGAGGCAGAGGTTGCAGTGGGCCGAGATCACGCCACTGCACTCCAGCCTGGGAAACCCAGCAAGACTCTGTCTCAAAAAAAAAAACGAAGATAGGGAGAAATCAGACAGCTTGGCCCATCTCTAACCAACAAGGGACTAAGCAAAAGCAATTTAAATGGGCTCCATGGGCCAGAAATTACAGTGGAACAGGCAACATAAGTGCTCAATAAATGCTGGTAATCTCATGATAAGGCAAGAGCAGCAGCATGGTGGGAAGGAGAAAGATGGGTTTCTAACTTCTAGCTCCAGCAGCTTACAAGCTACATAGTTTTATTATTTTACTTCTCTAAGGCTCAGCTTCGTGCTGTAATAATTATTATTTTATTGATTTAATGATTATAGCAAATAATATACTAAGGTAACTTGAAGAAAGCCTGGAAAATAACAGGTATGGAATAGATGGTAGTTCTGTTCCTTTCCTTTTTCTCACTGTCCAGAAGAAGAGAATGGTAATTCAGATAGAGACTGGACTGAAGTTTACCTTAACCTTTAACTCCTGCAAAAGTTTGTCTCTCTGTACTTCTCATATCACTGGTACCATTTGTTGGCACTTATTATGGATCAACACCAACCAATATTTTAAGTATCAGAAGATAAATCTGTTACTAAAGCAAGACATGGATAATAATCAGAAAAACCAGTGAAGACTTCTGCTTCCAGCCATCACAGAGTAACTGGGACCAAAACTTACGTTTCTGCTGAAACAGCTGTAAAACCAGTCCAAATGTATACAGCAAGTGCTTTCAGGTGCTGAACAACAGGCAGCTCAGGGCTACATGATTTTGGAGGAGGGAAACACGTGAGAGGCGCCCACAGTTGCCCTGGCTTCCTTCCTGGGGTGCTTTCCTTCCCGGCAGCACCCAGGTGGAACCCAAGCAGAGTGGTTTCATTGACGTGACATGACTGGGATTTGTGGGGTGGGGCTCTGGAGAGGACACTGCATGAAGGTCGCCCCAAAATTATGTATAGGGGTCCACCTCAGGTTCTTAGCCAAGAGCTGGTCTGAACCTGAACAGGGCAGAACTCAGTGAAACTTAGCCCTGATTGTCCATTGTGAGGGCTGAGAGAAGAAGAGTTATGCTAAGTTTTATTTATAAAAACAGGTGTCTGAGCTGTGGGTTGTAGTTTTCCAATCCTGCTTTAGAGAAAGAGGCATCCCTAGGATGAATTTCAAAACCAAAATAGACCTGCCCTTACAAAGATTAAAACCAAGCCTAATAGACAAGAGGATGCGCTAGTCATTTAACTGCCTGGCAGAGCAAAATGCATTACCTTTTAAAGGACCATAAGATAATCTAGACCCTTTATAATGTATAGCTCATAATATCCAGCAAATTAAAAGAAAATCTAGACATGTGAAGAAACAGGAAAATGTGACATACTTGACCTACTCAAAAAAGTGCTCAATAGAAACAGACCCGTAAAATTGGGTGTGGTGGCTCATGCCTGTAATCCCAGCACTTTGGGGCGACAAGGCAGGCGGATCATCTGAGGTCAGGAGTTCCAGACCAGCCTGGCCAGCATGGTGACATCCCATCTATACTAAAAATACAAAAGATCAGCCGAGTGTGGCAGCGCATGTCTGTAGTCCCAGGTACTTGGGAGGCTGAGGCAGGAGAATTGCTTGAGCCTGGGAGGTGGAGGTTGCAGTCAGCCGAGCACCCCAGCCTGGGTTACAGAGTGAGTGAGAGTCTGTCTCAAAAAAAAAAAAAAAAGACCCCTAAAATGACCTAGATTTTGGAATTAGCACAAAAGGAATTTAAAACAGTTGTAATTACACTCAATGACTTAAAGCAGAGGTCAGTAAACTATGACCTGCAGATTTGCTGCCATTTATTTTATTTATTTATTTATTTATTTATTTATTTATTTATTTATTTATTTATTTTTGAGACAGAGTTTCGCTCTTGTTGCCCAGGCTGGAGTGCAATGGTGCAATCTTGACTCACTGCAACCTCTGCCCCCCGGGTTCAAGCGATTCTCCTGCCTCAGCCTCCCAAGTAGCTGGGATTATAGGTGTGCGCCAACACGTCTGGCTACTTTTTGTGTTTTTAGTAGAGATGAGGTTTCACCACGTTTGCCAGGCTGGTCTCGAACTCCTGACCTCAGGTGATCCACCTGCCTCGGCCTCCCAAAGTGCTAGGATTACAGGAGTGAGACACTGTGTTCAGTGGTTTATTTTTATAAATAAAGTTTTATTGGAAGAAAGACACACCCATTTATTTACATTTTGTCTATGGCTGCTTTTCTGCTATAATGGCAGAGTTGAGTAGTTGCAGTGGAGTAACATCGCCAGGTAGCCTAAAATATTTACTCTCTGGCCCTTTCAGAAAAAAAATTGCCAACTGCTAATTTAAAGAAAAAATGGTTATAATGAGTGAAACAACAGGATATCTCAGTAGATAAATGAAAACTTGTAATTTTTTTTTTTGAGATGGAGTCTTGCTCTGTTGCCCAGGCTGGAGTGCAGTGGCACAATCTTGGCTCACTGAAACCTCTGCCTCCCAGATTCAAGTGATTCTTCTGCCTCAGCCTCCCAAATAGCTTGGATTACGGGCACATGCCATCATACATGGCTAATTTTTGTATTTTTAGTAGAGATGGGGTTTCACCATGTTGACCAGGCTGGTCTCGAATTCCTGACCTCAGATGATCCACCTGCCTTGGCCTCCCAAAGTGCTGGGATTACAGGTGTGAGCCACCGTGCCCAGCCAATATTTTTAAACATAAAAAATTAAAACTAAAAGTTACAATATCTGAAATGAGCCTAGCCGGGGCTTGAAGGCAAATCAATAGAAATTATCCAAACTGATGAACACAAGAAATCTGAAAAAGAATGGACCTTTGGCATGCTGTAAGACAATATTAAATAGCCTAACCTACATTTAATTGAATTCCCAATGATAGAGAAGAGAAAGAATGGAGCAGAAAAAATATATGAAGAAATAATGGCCAAAAATTTTTGAAATTTGATGACAGATACTGATTTACAGATCCAGATGTTCACGGCACCAAGCAAGATACGTATAAAGAAAAGCCCATCTATATACATCGTAGCTAAACTGCTGAAAACCAAAGATAATGAGAAAATCTTAAAAGTGGCCAGAGGGAAAGGACACGTACCTACAGCGGAACGATGATGAATAACAACTGACTTCTCAACAGAAACAATAGAAGCAGAAAATAATGGCACAACATATTCAAAGTTTTAAAAGAAAAAAACCCGTCAACCTTGAAATCTACCTAGAGACAATATCCTCTAAAAATGAGGGTGAATTTAGTATATTTTCAGATAAAAGAAAGCTTAGAGAATTTATTATGGCACATCTGCATTACACTAAAGAAAAATTTTCAAGCAAAAGAGAAATTACACTAGCTAGAAACATAAATCGACATGAAGTAATAAAGAACACGTAAATATTTAGATAAGTGAAAAGGCCACTTTTTGTTTTTAACATCTTTGAAAGACAACTGTTTAAAACAAAAATAATAATATGGTATGGTGGGTTCTGTTGAACATGTAAATGTAAAATATACAGCAGTCCTAGTATAAAAGTTAGGGAGAATGGAATTGTACTGTTTTAGGTTTTTATATCATATAGAAAATGGTACAATATTAAGTAAGTAGATAGTGATAAGTTAAGGATTCATGCTGAATAGCCTAGAGAAACCACCAAATAATACCACAAAGAGTGTAGCTAAAAAGAATATTAAATTTGTTTGGTTAGCCAAACTGAAGAGAGAAAAGGAAGAATAGAGTAATAAAAATAGAAAAGGAACAGCTAAGAAACAGATAGCAAGAAGGTAGACTTGAAGCCAACCCTATCAGTAATTACATTAAATATAAATGGACAAAAATCCATACTTTAAGAGATAGAAACTTTCAGACTGGATTAAACAGCAGGGCCCAACTATATGCTGTCTTCAAGAGAACACACTTTAAATACAATAAAAATGATGGGTTGAGAAAACAGGATAGAAAAAGATATAATCTACAAAGATAAGCATAAGGAAGCTGGTATGGTTATATTAATATCAGGAAGTAGATTTCAAGATAAGGAACATTATTCTCAGATAACATGATTGTTTACATAAAATTACTGAGGGATCTGCAAAATGGCTACCAGAATTTAGCAAGTTAGCAATTTCAGTATATATATATACATATATATATATATATATATATATATATATATATATATGTATATATATATATATATGTATATATATGTATATATATATCACTTGTAGTTAGTTCTATATACTGACACAACCAATTAGAAAATTAAAAATTTAAAAACAATTGTATTTACAATTACATCAAAAAACATAAAATGTTTGTAAATAAGCCTACCAAAAACTTGTAATACCACTAAACTGAAAACTCTGAAATATTGCTGAGACATATTTTAAAAGAATTAAGCAAATGGAAAAATATACTATCTTTATAGATTGTAACATTCATTTAAAAAATCTATTCACCTTAAATTGATCAATTAATTCAAGGCAACTACAGTTTAAAAATCCAACACAATTTTTTAGTACAAATTTGGAAGTTATTTCTAAAAGCTCCTTAGAAACACAAAAGACCTAGAATATCTAAGACAATCGTAAAGATGTATACATTTGGAGGATTCATGACATCTGATATTCAGGCTTTCTATAAAACTATGGAAATCAAGGCAGCGTAGTATTAGCATAAGGACAAACAGTAATGAAACAGAGCAGAAAGTCCTGAAATGGACTCAACTCATGTTTGTTCAACTGCTTTTTTTTTAAACAAATAAATGTGCCAAGGAAATTCAATGAGAAAGGAAAAATCTTTTCGACAAATGCTTCTGGAGCAAATGGATAAATGTATGAGAAAAAAACTCACATCTTATGCAAGAATTAATTTTATTATATATATAAAGATAAAGATCTATGTACTAGGTCTATATCTTATAGATGTAACCATAAAAGGCAAAACTAAAAAGATTTCAGAAGAAAATTAAGGCAAATGACTTTGCAAGTTGGAGATAGGCAAAGATTGCTCATAGAGGATGCAAAAGCACTGACTATAAAAGAAAAAAATTGAGAATGTCTACTCATCCAGAGACATTAAGAAAATGAAAAAGTAGGCAGGGTGTGGTGGCTCACGCCTGTAATCCCAGCACTTTGGGAGGCCGGGGCGGGCAGATCACAAGGTCAGGAGATGGAGACCATCCTGGCTAACACGGTGAAACCCTGTCTCTACTAAAAATACAAAAAAATTAGCCGGGTGTGGTGGTGTGCGCCTGTAGTCCCACCTGCTGGGGAGGCTGAGGCAGGAGAATGGCGTGAACTTGGGAGGTGGAGCTTGCAGTGAGCCCAGATCGCGTCACTGCACTCCAGCCTGGGTGACAGAGCGAGACTCCATCTCAAAAAAAAAAAAAAGAAAAAAATGAAAAAGTAAATGATAGACTGAGAGAAAATATTTGCAATATATATATTTGTCACAAATACTTGTGTCCAGAATATATAAAGAAAAACAAAGCAAGAGTAAAAGGCAAACAGCCCAATAAATGGGCAAAGACTTGAACAATCACTTCCCCAAAGAAGATACACGACTATCAATAAACACTTGAAAGTGTATTTAACATCAGATATCAATAAAATGCAAGTTGAAAACAATGATGAGATAGCCCATTGGGGAAATGGAGGAAATGGATAAAAGACTGATACGTCAAATACTGGGGAGGAAGTAGAACTACCAGAACTCTCTTATGTTACTGGTGGCAGTGTAAGTAATGTAATTACTTTGGAACACTATCTGAAAGTATTTGGCCAGGCATGGTGGCTCACGCCTGTAATCTCAGCACTTTAGGAGGCTGAGACAGGTGGATCATTTTAAGTCAGGAGTTTGAGACCAGCCCGGTCAACATGGCGAAACCCTTTCTCTACTAAGGAGGCAGAGGTTGCAGTGAGCTGAGATCACGCCACTGCCCTCCAGCCTGGGCAACAGAGTGAGACTCTGTCTCAAAAACAAACAAAGAAACAAACAAACAACAACAAAAAAAAAACAAAAAAAGAAAGTATTTTTATTGACGTTAAATATATACCTGCCCTACAATTCAGCAATTCTACTTCTAGGTATTTATCTAAGAGGAATGAAGGGATGTGTCTACAGAAAGACTTTTATAAAATATTTATAGTAACTTCTTTCTTTTATTAAGCCCCTTCCATTCTAGTACATAGTAGCTTTATTAATAATAACCAACTCAATAATTCAAACATCCATCATTGGGAGAACAGACAAGTAGCTTATGATATAGTCATACTATAGAAACCATTCAAAAATAAAAAATAATGAACTATTGATACAGGCAATATTGATAAATCTCAAAAATGTTATGTTGAACAAAATAAGCTAAACACGAAATAGTGCATACACTTTGCTTTCATTTATATGAAGTTCACAAAAAGACAAAAGTTATATCCAGAGATAGAAAGCAGACAGTGGTTTCTTGTGGTAGGTGGGTATTGACCAGAAGGCAGAAGTGATGAAAACGTTTTTGCAGCTGTACACATTTGTCAAAACTCATCAAATTGTATGCCGCAGATCTATGCATTTCTTTATAAGTAATTTTAGCTCAACAAAATGAGCGAGAAGCATATTTAGCTACTCTTTTGTAATTATTCATTAGCACAAATAACCAGGATTGACCTCAGATGTTTTTGGAATCTGAGATGTCAATCACAAGCCAAGAACATTTCTAAACACATCAATTTGAAAAGAAGGAAACAAATTGTCTTGGAAGCTATTTTGTGCCCTTAGAAACTCTTGAATTCCATGAGAGTGCGTTTTTCTAGATGAGGTCATGGGCATTTTCAGAGTCATCATAAATTAGCCCGAGTGTCTGAAGAGGTCATGCGGGGACAAGGGGAAGTTCCAGAACTTCTTATTCTCACAGACTTTCCTTTCATAAAGAATCTTTCCTGGAATTTAGGATCTTGACACCTCCAGGTCTGTAGCTCAGTAACCACTAAAGAGCTTGGCTATAATCCTTTTCCCTGAAAGGCCTTGTCAGGAAGTGCCAAACATCACCTGAAGGCAGCAGGAGGTAGAAGAGTGTGTGGAAAGGTACGCTGGAGGGTTGCTCTTTTTCAATCTAATAGGAATAAATTTGGGATTTTTTTTTTAGCCCTTCTCAGTGTAGTGTTATAAAAGCAGCAACAGAACAACATCCAAAAAAAGAATAAAAAATAATTTGTCTAAAAGTCTTGCACAGTAATAACAGGAGGATTCCACTTATATGACTCCAAAATGTTGAAATCATCTTTCCCTATATTATCATTCTTTTATTTTTTAAGACAGCATACAACTGTCCTCATTCTCTAGTTTTACTCACTAACAATGCCAAAAATTACTTCTCAAAATTCAGCTAACAAGGGCTTTTCTCTGCCTTTACACTTCCTCCTGTCTTTCCAGACCCACTTCCTGCTTCTCCCAATGGGTCTTCTCAACATAAATCATTCTCTCCCGGAATATTTTCCAATTCCTAGCTCTACGCACTCCCCCAGCTCACACCAAGGGACCTGGGAGCTTGGGAGGCAGACAGAATTTTCCTTAGAAGAGGGGAAGGGGAATATTTTTCTCCCTGTAATTTTAAAGTATTGGCACGATTCTGGATGTAGACATCACCTTCTTTTCTGAGATTATTTGAAGTGTCTGGTGCCTATGGACTGTGGGAAAATTTGAGATGATCAATTCGGGAGTTGGAGGTGGGGGTGTAGGGTGGTAAACACTCAAGGCTTAGAAATTGGGGCTCCCCACCCTGCACTAGGGTCTCACACAAAGGGGTTGGCACAGGGCTGAGAAGCAGTGGGGCTCCTGTCCACCCTGCCCAGCACCTACTCCCACCAGGCAACTGAGTGGTATTTAGTCTGCAAGACTAGCCCAGAAACTTGAATGGGACCCTGAGAGAGCCAGGGGTTCCTTGGGCCCCCGCTAGGGGACTTTCTGTTTGCCCTGGGTCTCCCTGTGTGGGCAGGGATGGAGAGTGAGGGCCTGCCTTCATGGCAGTAGGCTCTGAGTGGGTGACTGGCGCCAGGCCAAGTTCTAGGTGGGCTTCCCAAAGCCACATTCAGGCAGGACGGAGCTGCTCTTGCACACGGTTTCGTGGGCTGGATTTTCTCTGTTGCACACATGCTTAGTATCTGTCTCTCCCTTTGTTCCTGAGTGGTGGGCCGCACATGAGGCTCTGAGCAGGCTATATCTCTATTCTGGCAATAAAAGTACTCTGGACACTGTTAAGGTGAGAAAAGAAAAGAAATCGGGGCTCCCAGGAGGAGAATCCTGAACCACGGGCTCTGCGGTGATGTGGCCTTCCTCTTTAGTTTTTGTGCCTTTTATGTGGGCAGAGGGAAAAAGAGACAGCCAGCAGTGATCATTAATCCTGAAAATGCCGAGGGCTTTGGCCTGGGACCCACACCAAGACAGAGTCAAACCGAGTTCTTCTAGTGTTGAGCGTGTTTCACATCTTCCGTTGGAGTTTGCTGTGGATGCTCATTAGACAGACATGGGCAGAATCCCACTTGTTCCTCGTCCTTTTCCACCTCACCTCCATCATTGTGGCTGAAATACACGATCATGGGTGTATCTTTCCTTGTGGATTTGTTGCCTCTAGGAGTTCTGTATGCAGCTGAAGGGTAACATCCCTTGGGAGCTTTTGCCTTGTCTGGCTGACGCCTTGGCAATCGCAAGTGACAGTGACGGAGAGCCACCTCCTCTGGAATGCATCATGGAACAGGTCTGGGAGAACAGAGGGTGCAGGTGAAGGGCCCTCGACAATGCTTCTCTTTGCATTGTGGGGTTTCCCCTTCAATGGATTGCTAAAGATTCAACTTCTCTGTCTCTTTGTGTGCCCGCTAGAAAGGGAAAAGCCAGGCATTTGTAGTCCTCCTGCCACAGATGACCAGAATGACCTCACCCAGGACAAACGGCGACAGATTTAGGAATTCAAGCCAGCTTTTCTGACTCCCAGGCACCTGCTCTCTCCTTTCGAGTGTTCGACTCCACTCTCAGTCACTCGTCACTCTTCCCAGAAGGACAAATGTGCAGCTTCTATGTCTTGGATTTCAAATAAAAGACGAGGAACTTGGTGAAATGAGGTGGTCTTTGCCTTCCGCGTCACTCTCTGCTCCTCCTGGCAAGAGGCCCCATTTTTCTTGCCACTGAGGTTAAGTGAAAACAAAACAAAACAAACAAACAAAAAAGAGGCCCCATTCACAGTAAAGATAAACAGCAGCCTGGGCAGGCCAGCGGCTCTTCCCTGACGTGGAATTATGAGCCCTCTTTCTTCGATTTTGCCACATACCCGCAGCTGCACTCCCATAATCTGAAAGCTGTCCCTTTAATTTTTACCACTTCATTATTAGAATTGGAGTAGAATGAAAATTAATTTTTCCCTGAGCTATTTTTGTGTCCCTTGAGTTAACCAGAAATACCAACCCTGGAAAGAGATGTGGGGGACAGTCATTTTAGAGAGCGGACACCACTGCTGAAGAAGAAGGATATCCCGGTTGGCTGCTCTAGAGCCGGCAGGACGGATGCTGAGGTTGTTCGCAGCAGCGTGTGTGCAGAGCCCCCGGGATCTTGCAGACTGGGATTTGTCAGGGCAGGTGTGGACATTGAGGCTATTTCTAACAAGCTCCTACATGATGCTGGGGCTGCAGAGCCCCAGGCCGCACTTGGAGTATGAGAGTTTCCAGGGAGTGAAGCCCCGGCTGCTCTCTCTGCCCCCTCTCCATCTGCCCCCTGGGTGAGGACAGGACTCCCATCCCTCCAGTGCACAGTGAGTGCTGCTCAATCTGCATCCACAGCGGTTTGTGCCCAGATGCTTCCTCACTCAGCGTCTAACAGGGTGCAGTGGAAACGTCATTGACTGGAGGAAAGGTGTGTGGGTGAGAAACGTTTGTCGGTTGAGTAACTTTTTGTCGTTATTTTTTTTCTCTGATGTTCAAAGTAAGAGAAAACTCATCTGGCCCCTGGAGCCCATGTGAGCAACATGAAAGATAAAGGGAAAAGGGGGCTGATAAAGATGTGGACCGAGTCTGAGATAAGATTCTTTGCCCCTTGGGTGAATCCAGGTGAAGTTGTTTTACTCTTAGCCCAGCCAGCCCTGGATAAAGGCTTCATCCCTCTTCTCTTTCCTGTCCATATATCAGAACTTTAAGCTCTACTTGTACCCAGTGAAGATTAGAATAACGCACGGAGCACAGGAAATGTCTAGGTGATGATTTCACTGAGCTTTACAAGGGACACAGGTACGCATCAAGAGCTTGGGCCACTGGGTAAAGAGGGATCTGGTTCTTGCTCTAACGCGGTTCATCTTCTGTGTCAGAATCAGATAGATTCTGGGTGTCAGAGACCCGAATCTTCCTCTTGTTCCGCTCACTGCCCCCCTGTGGCCCCTTCTCATTTCAAATGCTCTGTCTGTAATATGAAATGAAAAGAATTCCTCCCAGACCCCTAGCCAAATTTCACCTTAAGCTCGTTGACTCCCAGAGGAAATCTCTGTGGGAGACTGGAAAGAGGACGCTGGAGCCAGAGGCTATCTTTGATAGTGAGGTGAGGTTTACTGTTTAATAAGAACTCCAAAGATATGCCTAATATTGAAGGTTGTCTCTCGCTTCCTTGGGAAACCCAAACCAGAAGTTTAGGCCGTATAGAAAGTAAGTGGTTTGGGTGCAAAAGGGATGTAGAACATCCCTTTTAATGGTATCATAGAATATGAGAACTAGAAGAGAGCTCAAAGATCATTTAGGCCAACCTCTACATTTTATAGATAAGAACACTGGGCCTGTGGTCATTCCACAAGTTTGTGGCAAGCCTTGGATTACAACAGATCACCAGGTTCCCTGACTCCTAGTTCAGTGCTTTTCCAACACCCAGAATCATAATCTTCAGGAAGGAGCGTGCTTTTCACCTATCTGTTGAAGGTTATCTCTTACAAAGAGGTGGAGCTATGTCTAAACTATCTGGGTGCTGGGAGGTGTTTGTGTGATGTTGTGGTTTAGTTCAGATTATTATCTTTGAAGAAGTCAGAGGGCCCAGGCCCTCCATTTGGGGTTATCTATATAATAATAACTATGATGTCTGAGCCCTGCCTATGTGCTGCTTCTTTGCATATATTACCTTCAATGCTCACCATGGCTCTGGAAGGTAGATACTGTCATCCCCACTTTAGAAAGCAAGAGATTGAGGTTCAGAGAGATTAAGTAAGTTGGCTAAACCACACAGCTCAAGGTGGTGGGACAGGAGTCACGTGAAAGTCTACTATTGCTGCCCTCATGTCAGCCTTCTAAAAAATCTCACTTTTACTTTCAGGAAATTCTTTCAAATAGCAAACATAAATGCGCACAAAGAAGCAAGGAGGAAGAGGAGGGAACTGTGTAGAAAAGGTTTGTGGAGGCAATTTGTTCTAAGGTTATTTATTATTTGAGAGGAAGGCTATGATATTGGTTAAATCTAGGCTTTGTAAAGTCTGGATTCATGTTAAGATGTTAAAAATTACATCTAAAATGACAGAGTAAAGTGAATAACTTACAAGCTATTGGAAGAAAATAAAATAGGATAAAAACTTACTTAAATCAAAAGAAGGGGGAAATGCATAGAAAGAGAAGGTAAAAAATAAAGAACAAAATAAGACAGTGGAAATTCATCAAACTATATCAGTAATAATTATCAATGTGGATAGATTAACCCTGCAGTTACAGAATGTTGGACTGCATATATTTTTAAAAATATGCAGTTATATGATGTTTATAAGAGACATGCTTAAAGCATAAATGCTCCAAAAGTTTGAAACTAAAAGAATGGACAATTGAATCCAAGGAGTTATATTAACATCAGACTTCAAGGCAGAAGCATTAATAGAAATACAGAAGTCAGTACGTATTGCTAAAGATTCAATTCACCAGGAAAACATAAAAATGCTATATGTGTATGCACTCAAAAACATCACTTCAAAATATACAAATCAAGAATCAGGAAAACATAACACTTACGTACTTCTATGCACCCAATAACATAACTTCAAAATACACAAAGCAAATATTGACAAAACAAGGATAAATTTAGAAATCTACTATCATAATGAGAAATTTTAACAGTGTCTTCCTTTATGATGGATAGGACAGACAGAAAATCAGTAAGAACAATCAAATGTGATAACCACAATTAACAAATTTGATTCCAACAATAGCAGAGCCCACTCTTTTTTCAAGCACACATGGGACATTTACAAGGCAGTAGAGGAGTTGAAGGCAAGTTAGGGGCAAAGAGTGGGTATCTATGGGGTAGGAAAATGGAAGTCTAGATAAGGAATAAACAGAAGGAAATGTTGAAGGTAAAGCTCTGGGTGTCAGAATCTTCCTCCTCTTTCACTCACTGGCTCACTGTGGTCCCTTCTCATTTCAGATGCTCCGTCTGTAACACGAAATGAAAAGAATTCCTCCCAATCATGTAACCATAGGAGCTTCTCATACACCCCAAGCCATTTCCTTTTACCATGCTGATATGTCCTTTTAGGCCTCTTGACATAGTACCCCTTGCTGGGAATCCTGCCCCTGCCCATGAGCCAGGCAACAGAATGAAGGCTGCTCTTAACTATAAGGTGCCTGAAAGGTGGGTGGGAGTTCAACTGGAAGGTTAGGCACGTCAGGCCATTCTGGCAGAGAATGTGTAAAAGTGTAAAACAGCATCATCATATGGAAGATACAAGAGACTACAGGTAGAATGTTTTGCTGAAGCATGAATCGTGAGGGTATGAAGGATGGAAATATGAGGATCAGTTGAAATAACATAAGTGACATTGAAATCTGTAAAATGCTCCACAAATTTTGATTGTTGCTACAATGACCTCTTGAGCGGTGTTGTTTTTAGAACCCAATGATAAAATATATAGTTACTTTCTAAGCTGAAAAACAATAATTAAAGCGTTCATTGCTTAAAGCTTGATTGTGTCACAACGAGGAAATAGAGTTTCTTTTGAATTCATATTCTAAGAACTATTTATGAGAATGCTGTATTCGGTTGTTTCCTGTCACCTGTATTCACATTAATAGATTATAACGGATTTCAATCTACTGAAGCATAGTCAATTCTCTGATTGCTGCCAACCAAATCACCATGGTTGAATTTGAATATTTCCAGTCATTTTTGATGGTTGTTGCCTGCCCACATTACCTGTTATTTATTTAAACTACCTTATATACGAATACACTTTTATATATAATTTAGAATTTTTTCTTAGCCATCATTAAATCACACCTAAATTTGCAATACATGGTATTGTCTTAGTTGTTCACTTTGCCTTTTGTCTCTCTTTTCCTAAACCTACCTTTTCTTCCCCAAAGACACTCAAGGACTTAATGGCATCTTTGGGTTTTTCTCACTCCAATTGACTTTAAAAGAACCCTCGTTATTAGTGATCTGATAAAACTGGTAACATAGATAAGGCATACAATTGTTGGAAAAAGAGAAGATAAAAATAATCATTCTATGTGAGGAATTTAATTAAGTACTTAGAAAACCCAAGACGGTTAAAGTATTAGAACTATTAAGAGTTTCATAAGGTGGCCAGATAGAAAATTCATTTATAAAATTCAACATTTTTTATATATCAGCAACAACCAATCCAAAAATATAATGGGAAATGATATTTTTTAACAGTTGTCAATCCTTAGTTGCCAGAAATGTGCTAAGTTCTGAACAGAAGATCCTGGAACTGGGAGAGATGTTAATTAACTGTGGACTTTTAACATCACGAGTACTTTGAGAACTTAAAGGGTGAGTTAATTCTTTTTTTTTTTTTTTTTTTGAGACGGAGTCTCGCTTTGTCTCCCAGGCTGGAGTGCAGTGGTGCAATCTTGGCTCACTGCAAGCTCCGCCTCTCGGGTTCAGGCCATTCTGCCTCAGTCTCCCGAGTAGCTGGGACTGCAGGCGCCCACGATCACGCCCAGCTAATTTTTTTGTATTTTTAGTAGAGACGGGGTTTCACTGTGTTAGCCAGGATGGTCTCAATCTCCTGACCTCGTGATCCACCCGCCTCGGCCTCCCAAAATGCTGGGATTACAGGGGGGAGCCACTGCGCCCGGCCAATGGTGACTTAATTCTAAAAGTAGAATTAAAACATATAATACACAAACCAGTAGAAGGAAAAGAGAAAATAAAGGAAACTCAATCAATTTAACAGAAGACAAGAAAAGATAAATACAACAGTAAAAGAAAAATAATGGTTAATAAAAGTTCAAAGTAAAATAGCATAAATAAGTCCAAATGTAGTACAATAAATATAAATCAATTAAGCTTGCTTGTAAAAGACAGAGGTATTCTGATTGAGGGGGAAAAATTTCCCCCAAAGTCCTGCACAAGGTCTATTTTTGTTATGTCAAGAGACGTCTTTAAAATACAGTGACATGTGAAGGTTGAACTAAAGGGCTGGAAAACACATTATATGCAGATATTTAGCAACCAAAAGAAAGCTCGATAGCTTTAGTAACAGGAGAAACTAGACCAAAAAAGTATTTTCACAGATAAATATCACTGTGGAAGTTATAATAATCTTGACCCTGTAAACACTCAACAATACATATTGTTGATAAGGTAGCCAGATATAAGAAAGCTCCATAGCTACAATAACATAAGAGAAACTAGATCAAAAAGGCATTTTCACAAATAAAAATTATTCTGGAAGTTATGATAATCTTGAACATGTATACACTCAACAATACATATGGTTGATAAGGTGAAGAATTACAAAAAGAAATTAATTCTACAGTCAAACTGGAGAATGTTAACACATTTGCACCTGATGCTAGCAATGTATTAAGCAAAAAAAAAAAAAAAAAAAATTCTGATCAGTCAGAGTTTATCCCAGCAATAGTGAATGGTTTAACGTTAGAAAATCTCTCAATGTACTTAAATACTTTTATGGTATAAAGGAAGAAAACCTACACAATCATTTTAATAGATGAAGAAGAGCATCTAATGATGATGAAAAGAATATCCATTATTGATTAAAAGAAAAAAAACTTTTAAGGTAGTAGAAATAAAAAGAAACTTATTTAACCAATAGACAGTAGACACTGAAAGCTTACAGAAAATAACATGTACGTGATACCTTAAAAGCCTTCTATTTAATGGTGGAAACATATACAATTCCTGCTTTTATTCTATACTGTATTGAACACCCCAGCTAATGCAATGGAACAAGCAAAAGAAATTAGAGGAATAAGAAGTGGATAACAAAAAATAAAATTGTCATTTATAAGTAATAACGTCTACTTAGAAGATCCAAGAATCTATACTTATCCAAAGACTCAGTATCCGTAATACATAAGGAAGACTTACAAATCAATAAGTTAAAGGCCAACAACCCAATAAAAATAGGGACAAAGGATATGAACAAGGAGGCCACAGAGATGACCAAAAAAACATGTGGAAGCATTCTCAATATCACCAGGTATCAATGAAACTTAAGATAGTAATGAGATTTTATTTTATATTATCAGATTGGCAAAAAATGTTAAAATTTCCCTATGGTAAGTGATGATGAGGAATATGTGAGGAATTCAGGAAATTTCATAAATTGCTGATGAGGATTATAAATTAGCATAGCGATTTCAAAGAGAACATTTTAAATATAGCAGTAAAATTGAAGCTGTCCATGTTCTAGGATCAGTGATCTCACTTCTAGGTATATTCCTAGAGAAATTCTTGCATATGTGCACACATTCAAGGCTGTTTATTAGAGCATTGCTTGTAATAGGGAAAAATCAGATACAATCTAATTGTCCATCAAAAGAAGGTTAGATTAATAAACTTGGCATTATCAAGAACTCTGTATTATTATACAATGTAATAATGTACAGTTGTTAAAAAGAATAAACATCAAAAATGAATCTCAGAAACACTGCTGAGTGAAAAAAGCAAAGTTGCAAATAGAAACAGTATATTATGCATTTATGTATAAAATAAAAAACAAACCAGTAGTGTATATTGCATCATGAGATACAGCCCAGATTCAAGAGAGCAATTACTGGAGGGGAAGAATGAGATTGGGTTGGACCGAGAGGGAGCTCCACTGTATCTACAGCATGTATTTATTTGTTTTTGTTTGTGTTTGTTTTGTTTTTTTTTGAGATGGAGTCTTGCTCTGTCACCCAGGCTGCAGTGCAATGGCGAGATCTGGGCTCACTGCAACCTCTGCCTCCAAGGTTTAAGTGATTCTCCTGCCTCAGCCCCCCAAGAAGCTGGGATTACAAGCGCCTGCATCACATCAGGCTAATTTTTGTATTTTTAGTAGAAATGGGGTTTCACCATGTTGGCCAGGCTAGTCTTGAACTCCTGACCTCAGGTGATCTACCTGCCTCGGCCTCCCAAGGTGCTGGGATTACAGGCATCAGCCATCACGCACGACAAGAGCATGTATTTAAAATAAACAAAAAGGACATGAAACAACCAAGGTAAACTGTAAACATTTACTGAATCCTGATGATGGGCACATGTTGGTTATATTAATCTTTGTGTTTTTCTGTATTGGTTGAAATTTTAATAATTTTTAAATATTTATAGAACAAATAGGTTTTTCTTGACAACCTCCCAAATGTTAATTCTTTACCAAAGCTTCTTCCAAAGGAAGTGATTAGTTCAGGGCCTTTTCCTTCTGTCTGTGGATGTGGAACTTTATCAGAGAAAGAAACCCCCCTCTCCCCAAACTCAGTGGCAAGTCCACAGCGGGGAAAGTCTAACTCCCAATTTTATTTATGAAGTCAATCATCCAAATCACCTCTCAGTCCTCAGCAGCTGAATTCAACACAATGATTAAGCCTAGAGCATCTTCCTAGAGAAGGTGGTAGTGATGCAGGACAAGCGAGCCCCGAGGTGGGGCTTAGCCCGCAAGGGTTCTTGGCTTTGCCCAGGAAGGAATTCAGGGGCAAGCCAGTGGTAGAATAAAAGAAAACAGCTTTATTGAAGTGGCAATGTTATAGTTCCGGCTGTGCTACAGCTCCGTGACTGCTTCTGTAGAGCAGGGCGACCACATAGGCAGAGAGTAGTAGGTCAGGGCAGTTTTGCATTCATATTTATATCTGCTTTTAATTACACGCAGTTTAAGGGGCAGTTTGCAGAAATTTCTAGGGAAGGGGTAGTAACTTTTGGGTCATCCGGTCACTGCTATGGAAAGGAGCAGGAACGCCTGGGTGTTGCCATGGCAATGGTAAACTGACATGGCACACTCATGAGCATGTCTTATGGAAAGCTGCTTCTGCCCCAATCCTGTTTTTGCTAGTCCTCAATTTTGTCCGATGTCTGAGCCCTGCCTCGGGGGTTGAGTCCCAACTTCTACCTCAGTAGGAAGATTTTTAAATGGCATAATTACAGAGATATAAAATTTATGTATGCATGTGACCAGAGGAAAAAATAAGACAGTGCAAAATATAAGTGGTGGTATAGGGACTTCACCTCCCACTCCCCCTCCACCCACTCTTTGCTGGATCAGCACCCAAGAGCAGAGCACAAGCCTTGGGCCATGGTAGGTTCTGAATGAGTAGTTGAGTGTATTAGCATTAGCACTGGTGCTGTTACCCATTGATTGGTTCATTCAAGCAAACATTCACCTTCCTTGTTTCATTCAGCAAGCACAAATGTTGAAGGAAATGTGGGAGAAGTAAAGTGCCTGTCTCAGGGCTTGGGGGATTTAAGGAAGTTGCTGTCATCAAAGAAAAGTTGCCTGATTCCCTCGGGAAAGGAGAAGAAGGCGGTGTGGTTCAAGGAGGAGACCTTGGCTTCAAGGAGGAGATCTCCGAGCACTTGGACACATCTCTGCAGTAATTAGCACAGAAGCACCATGAGTTATTTGTTATCTGACCCACAGTTTCTGAGGCCTGGTTGACTGGGTCAAATAGTCAGAGTTTCCGTAACCCTAAAATGAGTAACTCACAGGGTAAGACCCTTTTGGAGAACAACTGTGCCTTACTCAACACTTGTTAAACAACAACGAAATGATGGGGTGGTGGGGTGGAGGGATCTAGTTATTTTGTCTTTACTTAGAAGGGAAAAAAGAAGCAGGAAACCAAAAATACCCCTACAAGCAGCTGCCGCTAAACCATCACATTTTGGGACCTCAGATGCTTCTGCAAATGAAATGTTGGGCGCTGGTTATGTTCTAATCCTGGGAGTCTTCTCGGTCGACAACAGGCTTCCGGGCATGAAAGAGTTAACCACAAGCTCACCACAGAATGTCAACCTGATTAAAATAAAAGTTATCAGATTTAAAAGGGGGAAGTAGAAACACACTCTTTTTCTTTCTCTGAAATCTAAAAGCAGTTTTTCCTCAAATCTTTAAAACCAATTTCTTGGGATGGAGTCATATTTTTAGTAGAAATATGCTAAATTGGTGACTCCCACCCACAGTCTTTTCTGCAAGGAGAGAGACTCTTCTGAGAAACTGGAGCGAGGAGCTGAGGAAATTTTCAACTCAACGGAATTTCCCCTGAGACTGTAAAGAAACACAGAATAAGTAAGTATAACTTACAGGTAGAAACTTGACAAGAGGGAAACAGAAAAGAAGGAAAAAGAAAAAGTCATCAAAAATGATGGCAACCTCCAAAGTCATGATGCTAAGAGTTTCTCCTGGGAACCTCAGTCCAGTTGGTGTCAGGTGAGGGCCGGTCCTGTTAACACAAATCCTAATTGTCAGGCTGACCAAGCCCACGTGTCCAGAACCCTCTCCAGAGCTCTCCTCAGGGGTTCCCAGCAGCCAGGCTCACTCTGCCCTGCTCCTCACCCATCTCGCAGGGGAACCTCTTGTACCCCTTTTCCTTCCTGCTCTCAAGAATTCACACTCCGTTTTACACAAGACACACATTGCATACACTGTGTGTTGTTGACAGGGATCATGCCTTTTCACAGACAATGACAATCCAAATGTGGAAACACAGGGAGAAAACCATGGGAAGTGGGGAGCACTGATTGAGGTTCTGGGGTCCTGGCGCTTTCAGATACTACCATGATCTGCTAGTCTACTGTGATTTTGCTTAAGAAGGGTTCAGTAGAGACAAACAGCATCATAAAAGTGTCAAATCCGTGTGTTCACAGATGCTACCCCAGACATCGGGTAAGACAATGACATTTCAGGCACTGTGGGATTGATGGAGTGGACAGCATAGAGCAGAGAGCTTACGGTTGTAGGTTACGTGGTACCAAAAGCCCATGCCTGTGCTCCAGGGACTGTTCTCAGACACATAAATGCAACCTCAAGGCTTTTGCTGAGTTTAGTCTTTGTATTCATCTGTGAGTGGGTCAAAATGCCTGTCTGCTGCCCTGGCCCTCTTCTGCAGCCATGCTGAGAGGAAATACAGGCTTGCATTTCTCCAGAGTTCCTTGAAAGCATTGGTGCTCAACTATCCCTGCCTTAACACAAATTCTTAGTCAACACACAACATTTGATCTCTGATAGTTTCAGTGGGTGGGTTCTATTCTTTTCAACAGATACCTCAGGGTTAGTGGGGGTGAGCTCAGATGCTCCTGCAATGGGCATTCACACTGGGCTTCTTGGAGAGCTGAATTCCAAGGTGGCCACGTTTCCTAAGGACATGGGAACTTAAGATGCAGGCAGGGATCCCATGTCCTACTGGAAGGTTTAAAGACTTCCTCAGCACAGTGCTGAGAAGATCCTGCTTTTTACTCGGGTGTGGGACAAGTAGTTATGAAGCCACAGAATGTTAGGACTGAAAGGGACAAAGACCCTCTCCATGTCTCTGCATGCTTGCATGGAGAACATGCATTGTCCAAGGACCCTCAAATCCCTGCATGCCCTGCGCATGCCCTAACCCTGAGGAGGTGCTGAACCCTTGCTGATGTGCAGAAGGGGTTAATCAGACCATGTGGACACAGGTAGCCCAAGGAACAACCCCCATGCCAACAGCACTCCATCCCGACCTCATACCATGTGCACAGCACCTGATGCTGGTGGGGTCAGGAGTGTGGCCTGTGCCACACTCAGAACGCGGGATGAACATAGAGGAAACACTAGAATGGCAAAGGCTGGTTGTCACCTGGGGGCCTCAGAAGCCACGGCACCAGAGGAGAGCTCAGGAGTCAGCCTGCTCCAAAGCTCTTCCTGCCTGTAGCATGCACCCTGTGCCTCCGGGCCACCAAAAACAGCAATCACGTCAGCTGAGACGCAACACACTGCATGCCGAACACACAGGAGAGCTCACACGCACAAATGTTCTCGGCTTCCCAGACACCAATGAAGGAGCTTATTATGAATATGAAGGATAATTAACGTATCTATTATTTTATTAGACATCACAATTCAAATACAATAAAGTATATAAATATAAATATATAATAAATGAAATATATAAAATACCATCTTAGCTTATGAAATTATCTTATATGATAAAATAATTATACAGATATATAATAAGCAATTAGGGTATGTTATATAAAATACTATAGTATACTCATTAATATAATTAGTATATTATATGATAAATATATATAATAAAAGACATCATACACTAATAGAGTATAATAGTCAATATAATTAAAATTATTACTTATGCAGTAATTAATTATGAGGTGATGTGTTCTTCTCATCTCCGTTCTCTAGAGGCAGGAACTAAGGCACAGAGAGGCCCAGTGACTTGCCCAGAGACACACAGCCCCTCAGTGGTGGAGCTAGGACTTGGACCCAGGCAGCCTGACAAGTGCGTGCTCTTACGCACAAGTGTCTGCCTGTCCTCCCGCCTATCCTCCCTCATGTGCTGGCTGCATCCTGCTCCCGTGGCCCCTGACCCTCAACTGCCCTTGTCATGTGCCCGTCATGCATCACAGGAAGGCTGTCATGGGAGTCCTGAGGTGGGTGGTGATAAGTAAGCAAGAAGAGGGGTTGCTGGCGTTAAGAGATTTTAGAAGTTGGAATTGCCAAAAATTGAGGCTGGATTATTAGGTGCATGGAGGACAGCAAGGAAGAAATGAGGATTTTGCCCAGATTTCCTGGGCGATGGGGAGGATGGGGTGCCATTCATTGAGATAGCAAAGAGAGGAGAAAGAGTAGGTTCCAGGGAGGGAGGACAGTTCTGGATGTGTAGACTGAGCAGCCTGTGAGGCATCCACACGGAAAGGTCCGAGGGAAGGGCCTTTGGCCATGCAGACTAGAAGCCCAGCAAGTCACATTTAGTGAGCACCTACTGTGTGCTCTGGTCACTCTAGGCAGGCTAGCTTATGTAGCCTTACAGCACCCAGCAGGGTCTGTGTTATTCCCATTTTATACGAACAGAAGCTGAGGCCCACCGAGGTTAAAACCCTACCCTCATGGACTTCCATGGAGGTTACTCAATGCCCTATGGGTTTGCCTTTCTGCTTCCCTTCATTCTTCACATAAACCCAGTGCTTTCTCTTCTTCCTTCATTCTTCACATAAACCCAATGCTGTCTCTCCAAAGTACAAGCCATGCCCTGACTGAGACCCCTCTGGGATGTTCTGTTCCTTCCAGGACACAGTTTAAGCCCAGTGACATGGGGAGACTCCAAGACACAGCTCATGCCCAACTTCAAAATCTCTGCTTCCACTATGTGCCTGAGCTCTCCTGCCTTGCGGGACTCTGCGTGGCTCTTGGAGCTCACCATGTGTTTTGTCTTGGGCCTTGGTCATTGTATTATTCAGGGAAACAGAATTTCTCTAGAGAAACAAAACCAATAGGATGTATGTAGATAAATAAGAGAATATTTATAATGGGAGTTGGCTCACTCAATTATGGAGGCTGAGAAGTCCCACAATATGCCAGCTGGAGCTGGATAACTAGGAAAGCTGGTGGTGTGGCTCAGTCTAAGACTGAAGGCCTGAGGAGCAGAGGGGCCCTGCTGTAAGTCCCAGAGTCCAAAAGCTGGAGAACCAGGAGTGCAAATGTCCAAGAGCAGACGACGGATGTCCCAGCTTGAACAGAGAGAATGCAACCTTCCTCTGCCTTCTTGTTCTATTCTGGTCCTCTATGGTTGGATGATCCCCACCACACTGGTGAGGGTGATTTTCTTTACTCAGTCTACCAACAAGAAATTTACCCAGTCTATTCAATTCAAATGCTAGTGTCTCCTGGAAATACCCTCACAGACACCCCCAGAGAGACTGTTTAGCCAGCTATCTGGGCATCCCTTAGCCCAGGCAAGTGGACACATTGAAATTGACCATCATGCTCATGCCACACTTCCCTAATGCATTTCTACCTTCTTAACTCCTGCTTTCCCTGGAGGTCTCCCATTGGCTGTCATCTTTCTCTGGGAAGCCTCCGGGACTCTTCTGTCTGTGCTTTGTGGCATTTCTCTGCAGTCCCAGACTTTGCTCCCTTTTCTTTACACGGCACTCACCCTACTGTATCCATCTCCCTCCCACCACCTTGCTAGTGCCTGCACAGAATGGCATGCAAAGGTTTTCGTAAAGGAAAGTAGAAATTCACAAGTTCAAGCTAGGATTTGAATTCAAGCTGTCAACTTTCCAAATTCATAAGACTTTTCCATTCTCTCAAGACGCTTTTCTGGTTGGGAAAAATTCCGGTAGGCAGACAAGATGGGGAAGATTGTTCCAGTAAGGGAGGAGGGTGTTCCTGGGAGTCCAGCTTTGAAATCACAAATGAGGAGGTTCCCTTTGAAGGACAGGAGGAGACCTGCTGGCCAAGGCGTGCTATGTGCTGAGGGAACAGTCTTGGCTGGGGAGCATGTTGTGTGCCAGGCAGAGGAGGTAGCAAAGTGCCCCTGAGGCAATGGAAATGACTGGAGCTCTTGCAGCCGAAAGGGCATCACGACAGGTGCTTTCAGGGGAGATTAACTTGGGGATGAATAACAGGGTGACTGAAAACCAGAGCTTCAGGGCCTGCCTAGGCAGCCCAGGAGATGAACAGTGCCTGTTGACAGCTTGCTTCCTGTGTCGGCCTGAATGCATGGGTTCTGCTCAGATCTACTGGCTCCTTGCTTTCTTGGGAGAGTGAATTACTGCCTCATGGTCTCAGTTTCCTCATCCGTAAAATGGGAATGGTGGCAGGGCGTGGTGGCTCAAGCCTGTAATCCCAGCACTTTGGGAGGCTGAGACTGGTGGATCAATTGAGGTCAGGAGTTTGAGACCAGCCTGGCCAACATGGTCTCTACTAACCTGTCTCTACTAAAAATACAAAAATTAGTCAGGCATGGCGATGGGGCATGCCTGTAATCCCAGCTACTGGGGAGGCTGAGGCATGAGAATCTCTTGAACCCGGGAGGCAGAGGTTGCAGTGAGCCGAGATCATACCACTGCACTCCAGTCTGGGCAACAGAGTGAGACTCTGTCTCAAAAAAAAGGTGGTTGGGGTGGGGGAATAGTGCTAACAGTCCCCATCTCCTATGGTGGCCATGAGGAATCTGTAAGATCACAGAAGCAGAGCACGCAGCAAGGCCTCCCTGGCCCGGGAGTGCTCAGAGCTGGGATCCCAGTGCAGGACGAGGAGGAGGAGGATGGGTGCCCTGGCTACAGGTCCTCTTGCACTAGATTGAAAACGGGGCCAGAGAAGCAGAGCTTGAGAGACGCTGGGAGAGGGAAAGTGAAACTGATGGTCCGGTGGGTGAAAGGTAGTGAAAGCCCGAAGTGCAGTAAACCAGGGATCAACATCTCCAGCCAAAAGGCTCACCCTGTGGTCTCAGCGCCACCTGGGCGTCAGACAGATGTCTGGAGAGACGGCTCTTTTATTCTGAAACACCCCTCCAACTTTTTTTTTTTTTTGGTAATTGTTTGTTTTGCTTTCCATTTAATATAAGGAGTTTTCTCCTTTACAAAAGTTCTTTTTGTTCTAAATCAGGCTGTAAACAGAGGTGCTACCACAAGGACCGGAAGCAGAGACCACACTGGTGCTCAGCTGGGTTGCAGGCTCTGCCTGGTTTCATTGTCGGGGAAGCCACCAGGCCTGCCCCCAGCCAGCGAGATGTCACGCATGCAGCCGGGTGTCATCCCCAAAACTCCCGGGAAACTCTCGGGGCACCAGGGCAGGAAGAGGCTGACGTCAACTTTAACTCCGGGGACTTCAAACGAAACTTTTAGAAATGATTCCTTTGCCCTTTACTTGGTGACGTAATAAACTGATCTTTCTCTGAAAAGATGGGCCGATTTGCTTCAAGGAGCTCATTTCATGAGGAGAAAATACACACAAATATATATATATATATATATATATTTTTTTTCTTTTTTTTTTTGAGACGGAGTTTCCCTCTGTCACCCAGGCTGGAGTGCAGTGGCTCAATCTCGGCTCACTGCAACCTCAGCCTCCAGGTTCAGGGGATTCTCCTGCCTCAGCCTCCCTGAGTAGCTGGGATTACAGGCATGTGCCACCACACCTGGCTAACTTTTGTATTTTTAGTAGAGACGGGGTTTCACCATGTTGGTCAGCTGTTCTCGAACTCCTGACCTCAGGTGATCTGCCCGCCTCAGCCTCCCAAAGTGCTGGGATTACAGACGTGAGCCATCATGCCCAGCTATATATATATATATATATATATATAGAATTTTTTAAGGAAACATTGCTGCTTTGCTACAAAGTATATAATAATGTAAACTGGACTAATACGATTCCTTCCTCCTTTCCTTGGAGAAGTCACAGACTTTTAGGATTGGAGAACGGTTCACATGCATGTGTGTGGGGCAGTTGGTCAGAGCTGTCCATTATGAAAGGTGCTTCTAGAATACTTGGGGAATGTGGGAGCTAGAAAACAGGTTGTTATTAAAGGAATTGAAATACTCCCACTTGAAATGTTCCCATTTTCTCTGTAAAGGAATTTCTTGAGCAAAGGAAAACTCTACATCCTCTGTCTACCTGAAGTTCAAAATTAGTGGTGTTTGGTTTTAATAATTTTAGTAGTTGATGACAAAACAACGCTCTCTGCTGTCCTCTCTGTCACATCTAACATGATGTGAATGAGGCAGTCCCTGATGTGAGATGTGCTGGGTTTTGCAGGGGTAATGAACATCGATCTGTGTGTTCCATCGACTCCTTCTTTAAACTTGTATCTCAGCACTTAGCCTGTGTCATAATTGTCTGTGCAGAGGTCAAGGATGGGCTCTTATTCATCTCTGTGTCTCAAACCCTGTGCCTGACACATAGCAGTTCCTCAATGAACATTTGCTGAATGAATGAATGAACAAAGGAATGAACAAACCAATAGCCGGAAGTCCTACCACACAAGAGGTTGTCTCCAATCTCCCTGACTTTCCCTCTTCCTCCTGTACCCTCAACCCATCAGCTGCCTGTACTGCTGTAGCAACAACTTCTCTCTGAAAACCTTCCCAGGGGAGAAAACGCGCCCCCCCTCACGCCTCAGAGGCACACACCTATCCTAGCCTTTGTTTTTTTATTGCTGAGAGTACAGAAAGCAGCGGCTTCTGAAGGAGGTATCTATTTTGGTCCCAAACAGAAAAGAGTGGGTGATTCTGTGGGCAGAGGTGGCAATTCCTGAATGTGGTATGGTGACTCACGCCCGGAGGTGCTCAGAATTTCCTCTGTTTTGTGGCTGCTGGGGCAGGTGCGACACTGCCGCTTTCTCTAAAGATGCCCCCAAGCTGCTCTGGGGGTAGAAGGAAGGCTGCAGGGAACAGCAGGACCCGGAGAACCCAGACCCCAAGGACCAGGTGGTCCTTAAGCCATCCTGCAGGAGGCCGGCTGCTCTAGCAGGTTGAGGAGTGCCACGCGGCTCTGTGGGTACCGCCTCACTGCATGTACCTGGGGCTGAAGGAGCAGTGGGCATTACTCACAGCCTATTACTTCACCTTTGTAAAAAACAAAAATAACTTCCCTGCTCACATGGCACCTTTGTCTTTGACCTTTAGCAGCAGTTTAGACAGGAGGAAAAAAGGCAGGTTCTGGAATGAGAGCGCCTGCTTCCTATCCTAGCCCCTTCCTCGTTGGGCTACATCAGGCAACCCATTTAATCTCTGTAAGCCCATTTAACCACAGTTCACCAGGCAGAAAATGGGGATAATCATATGACCTACTTTATTTTGAGAATTAACCAAAGTAATACTATGTCTGAACATAATACCTGAAAGATAGCATTTAGGCAATGGATATTCACTGTGGTGGTTCTAGCTAGTGTTCAAATGTTTTCTGGAACAAAGCTTGAAGCAAATAAGAACGAAAGGAAACATAACTATCAGTATCGGAGTTGGTGCATGGGCCGGCTTTAACCAGTCATGTTTCCTAGTCTATAGCTTTGCTCATTTTCTTACCAAAGGAAATCAGGGCCTGTTGGAGACTGTCCTATTTTCCACGCTCTTTAGAATAAAGAAACCAATGGCTTTCACAAACTTCCTTATTTAAAATTAATTATCATTTTAAAAAATAGAGGTGGGGTCTCACTATGTTGCCCAGGCTGGTCTCAAACTCCTGGGCTCCAGGGATCCTCCCCTCTTGGCCCCCCAAAGTGCTGGGATTACAGGAATGAGCCACTGCACCTGGCTGCAGCTTCCTTTTTATTCTTTTGAAACATTGCTCTTTCTTCTTCTTTTGGGTAAAAGGACTCAATTGCTGCTAGTCCAATTGCACCAGCTTGTTCTTGCACTGCATACAGCGTGGGAGGAAAAAGCCTGGGAAACGGGGGGACATGGGCCAGCGAGCTCATCCGGCCACACCTTCCACCATGGGGCAGGCCCCTCTACTGGCACAGGATGTCAATACTCCTGATCCGTATCTTGCCTTCCCTCCACCCGTTCCTCTTCCTCCCAGCACAGTGACCTTCCGGTCAACCCCACCCATGCCACCCACACTTTGTTGCCCTGGAGTTTCCTGCCACCTGAACCCCTCCTTAAGCAGGATGCCTGGATCCGGGTCGAGGGCTGCAGGCGGAGCTGCTGGTCAAAAACCCCCCGGGGAACTGGTTGGGTGTGGGAGTGGGAGAATGGGCTGTCAGGACAAAAGCACTGGGACTCCAGCCCTGTGGTGTGCACGTGGCTCGGGCTGGGTCAGGAAAAAAATGTGGAGGTAGGGAAACAAGACCCAGGAACTCTTTGGCTGCCATCCAGGGTCATGTGGTGCTGGTGATAAGTGATCAGTGACCCATTGAACCGAGGACGTCTACCGGGGACCAATGACACCTGTAGACACTGCAGGGTTGAAGCTGGGGGAGAAGCACTCACATGCTGTCTGTCTGAGCAAAAGTATTCGTTTTTGTCCGAGAATCTGAGACTCATTTGCTTGGCACACACACACAAAACTTCATGTATGTTGAAATATGGCTCATTATGTAGTTGTCCTGGCAAACCCCTCATCTCTCTAATTGGTCAGCTCACTACTCATGGAACACGGTCCATGTACACGACTCCAGCAGCATCACTAGAAAACACCATTCTCCAGCCCCTCTCCTGATATTCAGAACCACCATTCAGAGCCAGGAGGTCCCAGGGCCACCTTCTCTGAGAATTTTTTTTCTAGTTCTCCAGGTAGCATGTTACTCTCCCTATTCTGATCATTTATGGCATTATTTGCAATGTTTGATCAATATTTGATCTTTCCCAGATTGGTTTTCCCTTTTTCTAATTTTTTTTTAAGAGGCAGAGTCTCACTATGTTGCCCAGGCTGGTTTTGAACTCCTGGGCTCATGGGATCCTCCTGCCTTGGCCTCCCAAAGTGCAGGTATTACAGGCATGAGCTATCACACTCAGCCTATTTTCTCATTTCAGTCGCAAGTTCTGTGTGGGTAAAAGCAATGCGTATTTATTCTCTGACTTGATAGCCTTGTTACTCAAAATGGGGTTCATGCACCCACAACATAGGCCTCCTGTGGAACCTGTTTGCACCAGAATCTTAGGCGGTAACCCCTGACCTCCCGAGTCAGAATTTGCTCCGTGACAAGATCCCTGGATGATTTCTAAATGCATTAAAGGTTGAGAAGTACTGCTTGAGCATACCTGTTCCTAGTGAATCAGACCAACCATGGAAATCATTATTCCATCTCTCTAATTTGGTGAGTTTCAATCCTAAGTGCGATTTGGAAGTATTCAAGGAACTGGAAGGGAAGGTATTGTGATGTTCGGTTCTGTTCCCCAGAGAGTCCGCTTAATTCATCTTATGAGTCTTGGCCATCACTTTTTTTTTTTTTTTTTTTTTTTTTTTTTTTTTTTCACCGCCCTTAATCCATTTAATCCTGAGTGGACACAGCACATGTTTCAGAGAGCACAGGGTTGGGGGTAAGGTCACAGATCAACAGGATCCCAAGGCAGAGGAATTTTTCTTAGTGCAGAACAAAATGAAAAGTCTCCCATGTCTACCTCTCTCTACACAGACACGGCAACCATCCGATTTCTCAATCTTTTCCCCACCTTTCCCGCCTTTCCATTCCACAAAGCCGCCATTGTCATCCTGGCCCGCTCTCAATGAGCTGTTGGGCACACCTCCCAGACGGGGTGGTGGCCGGGCAGAGGGGCTCCTCACTTCCCAGTAGGGGCGGCCGGGCAGAGGCGCCCCCCACCTCCCGGACGGGGCGGCTGGCCGGGCGGGGGGGCCGACTCCCCCCACCTCCCTCCCGGACGGGGCGGCTGGCCGGGCAGAGGGGCTCCTCACTTCCCAGTAGGGGTTGGCCATCACTTTTTAAAGCATCCTGGATATACACTAATGTACAGCTGGCGTTTTGAACCATTACTCTCCACACATTTCCCAGTGGGAACTGTGTTTTCTTTTTGACAGAAGCAAACCACGGAGTCGCCTTGAGATCAGTCAAAACACTGAGTAATCTTAGAGTGGAGAATACCTAAAATTTCTAGAGACAATTATATTATTGTTTTCCCCTAAATGAGTGAGTTACTTGAGAATATGGTGGGGTATTCAGTGGGGGCTATTGGCAAACACTGTTGGCTGACTTCAGAATGGGAGCCATTCAGCAGCAGTTTCATCTCCCGTGTTAAACTGTGAGCACAAGAGGATAAGAGCTGGAACTTTCTTCATCTCTGTAATCCTCATGCATGAATGGATGGATGAAGGAATATCACTGAGAATTCATGTAAAGATGTGCAGATGTGCAGGGAATATTGAACTGAAATTTAAGAGGGCTGGATTCAAGTTCAGCTTCTATGTGAACTCTTTCAGTGAAGAAGGTCTTATAACTTTTAGAAGTAATCAACTGAATTAAGATTCTCTTTTCAGCTGGGCACAGTGGCTCATGCCTGTAATCCCAGCACTTTGGAAGGCCCATGCAGATGGATGGCTTGAGGCTCGGAGTTCAAGACCAGCCTACGCAACATAGCAAAAACCCCCTCTCTACTAAAATTACAAAAAAGGAGCCAGGCATGGTGGTGCACACCTGTAATCCCAGCTACTCAGGAGACAGAGGCAGGAGAATCACTTGAACCCAGGAGCTGAAGGTTGCAGTGAGTTGAGATTGCACCACTGTGCTCTAGCCTGGGCGACAGAGCGAAACTGTCCAAAAAAAAAAAAGATTCCCCTTTCTCTTCTCTCAGGGAATGGCCTGGGATAGAGAAGAGAAACAGGTTCCCACTCATGTAAAACTTCTCCCATGGGAGACAAGGACATTGTTTGAGGGGAAAATTCCTACACAAGCAAACAAACAGCAGAGGACCCCGCCCTCCCTGTCCAGGGCAGGAGCACAGTGGACCACCTGCTGCCCCTGTGTCTTGGGGCCTCTCTCCCTGGAATGTCACTGATGGAAATTTACCAGTCCCTCAGGGCTCCCTTTCCATGTCACCCTCATGAAGCTTTCTCTGATAGCCCCATGCTCAGTAGATCTTACCACATATGACTTGTGTTACCATGACTATATCTATGCCTTTCTCCTCCTCACCAACTTATGACTCTCTTAAGGATCAGGACTATGTCGCTCATTTTTACATTTCCTATAGTATTGAAAAGGGGCATGAGAGATATTGGATAGATTTTGAGAATTGAGTGAGT
The DNA here is from genome assembly GCF_000001405.40 of Homo sapiens. Classification (NCBI taxonomy): domain Eukaryota; kingdom Metazoa; phylum Chordata; class Mammalia; order Primates; family Hominidae; genus Homo; species Homo sapiens. The sequence goes on from NC_000010.11 coordinate 6,057,237, forward strand.
GGAGTTTTTGCGTTGACACCTGCAACTGCAGCAATTACAGAAGCAGTGGGTCATGCTGGCTGCCAGGCAGTACTTCTTCAGAGCTGGAAATAACCCACAATGAGACATCAGGCTTGGGTGCATTGATACACAAAAGTCGCTCAACCCTGACCGTGCCAGTATGTCTTCATTTGGGAAACTTTTTCATCCCAAAGTTCCCCAGCTTGAAAATGCCTTTTAAGCAGAGCTTATTTTATTTCCTTTCTGGAATCCTTGACATAGAGTGAAGGAACTGGAAGGGAGTTTCAAGATCCCTGGGTGACCTCCTCATTTTACAGAGAGAAATCTGTCAAAAACTCACGCCCTCCCCGTGTCCTCTCCTCAGTGCTTTGGCCCACTTTCTGCTTCCTGCAAGGTTTATTTTCCTGCTAATTCTATTCCCTGTGACCTCAAGCAACATGCCTCATTTCCTGAGGGAATTCTCTCTTTTTCTGTAAAGTTTCTGCTCATCCTTGGGCAAGAAGAGGAGCAGGGAAGGGTGGGAACAGCTGCCACGTTGAGGGACTGCCTGCCTTGATGATATCCATAGCTCGCAGAAGAATGACTCCAACAAAAAAGTCACAAAGAGGACTGGGTGCGGTGGCTCATGCCTGTAATCCCAGTGCTTTGGGAGGCCAAGGTGGGCAGATCACCTGAGGTCAGGAGTTCGAGACCAGCCTGGCCAACTTGGTGAAACCCCGTCTCTACTAAAAATACAAAAATTAGCCAGGCGTGGTGGCAGGTGCCTGTAATCCCAGCTACTTGGGGAGGCTGAGGCAGGAGAATCACTTGAACCCGGGAGGCAGAGGTTGCAGTGAGCCAATATCTCGCCACTGCACTCCAGCCTGAGTGACAGAGTGAGACCCTGTCTCAAAAAGGAAGAGAAAAAAAAATCACAAAGAGGTATTCAGAATACCCAAGGCTTTAGGCAAAAACCAGTCTGGGAATACTTCTCTATCAGGGGAGTGGGGTGGAGTAGTGGAGTTTTAGAGCTCAGCAACCGTTCTATATTAGCACCTCTAACTGACGCATTCGTGAAACTCATTCTTTTGGTGCAGAATTGTGAAGTCAATTTTTTTCTTTTTCAATTCTCACATCTAAAATGAAGTATATGCACAGGTGATTTATCAAACTGCCTATTTAAGGCATGCTGTTTTAAGGAAAGTAGCAACTGTCTTATGAAGAGCTCCCAATGTTTAGGAAAGCCCTTACAGCCTCAAGACATGTCTTGAAGATGAATGAAGTAACAGTAGCAATAATACTTTGGGATCTCAAGAAGTTGAAAGATTAAATGTGAAGGGTTAAACATTTTGTGTTTGACTGACAAAGGTGAAGATGGGAAATTCCATTGTGGGCAGTTGTCTTTACAAGAATGGATAATTACACAAACACATTATCTCAATGGGTTTCCACACTGTTTTTTTAAAGAATTATTTTTGAGTCTAGAGGATAAAGATTTGATCACAGAATTCCTAGAATGAAAGAAAGATGATCAAGGGACATACAAGCTCTCAGAATTTCCACAGTTCTGAGAAAGGTGCCTTCAATAACGTGCCATATTGGTAATACCAGGAGAATTCTCTTTCTGACCACATCCCAGAGCCCAGTAATATAGAGACTAAAAACACTCAAGTTGACTAATATGTCCTCATAAACCCTTGCCATGTTAAATGGTGGCTTTGGAAATTTTCAGAATGAAAATCTGCCCTTATGAATCAGCTAGAAATTGCATCTGTTGACAGTCTGATTTCATTAGAGAACTCTTACCCTGAGGAATAAAAAGTCTGATTTGTTTCAAGACTAGGTTCCTCTTGGAGAAAAAGTCTGTGATGAGATGGTTTCTTACCCTGGAGTGATGCCTAGAAATTCCTGTTGATTCCAGAAACTTGACCCCTGTCATTGTCTTTGGCCACTGGGTCCTCATTTGCCTTGTGATTGGACTATTTTAAGAGCCTCATGACCTGTCTCTGTGCACCTGATCTCTCTCCACTCTATGCCAGTATCATCTCCATAAAGCGCTGACCCTGTTTGCAATGAACAGAAACAGAACAATCCAGGGAGACCAGGTTCAAACCCTGGCACTCTCACTGCCTGTGCGAGTCTGAGTTTTGGGTTCTTGCTTCATCTAGGGGTTCATGATATCCATACTGCAAAGTGGCTATGAAGATTACAATAGGACACATATCTGGCACATAGAAGTTACTTTATAAATGGTAGTTTTAAATTTTCTTGTAGTTCTTTATTGCCTACTAGGTGAAGTTAAGAAGTTATCACTAGGAGAATTCTCTTTCTGACCACATCCCAGGGCCCAGCAATATACAGACTAAAAATGCCTAATGCCTTAGATGATTCATTTTACCTCATCCTAACTTTCCAGTTTGAATTCCCCATATCCCCACCCTCCCTGTCCAGGGCAGGAGCACATTGGACCACCTGCTGCTCCCTAAGGCACTCCTGTGTTTTGGCTCATTGGGGTCTCTCTCCCTGGAATCTCATTGATGGAAATTTACTGGTCCCTTGGGGCTCCCTTTACATGTCATCCTCATGAAGCCTTCTCTGATAGCCCAACGCTCCGTAGATCTTACCACACTCTGACTGGTATTACTATATTTATATCTATGTTTTTCTCCTCCTCACCAGGTTATAAGTTGCTTAAGTGTCAGGACTATATCTCCCTCATTTTTGTATTTCCTATAGTGTTGAGGGGCAGATGGGGTATGGATAGATGTTGAGAATGGCGTGAAGGAGTCCTTATGGGACTCTAGTTCCCCTGCTCCCTCCAAGACCACTCAGACCCTTGGATAAGTCACCAATAGCTAGAAATAACACGAGTTTACTTGAAATGTGTCTTCCAGAGGCAGAGCATGATTAATTGTCAAGATTTTCCTGTTCTTGGCTTAGACTGAGTTAGCAAAGACCCTGTGGATGTAGAAATCACATTGAAAAACCTTCCTAAAAGTATGCCCTCTTTATAAGAACGGCACGATGGACTCTGAGGACTCAGGGGAAAGGGTGCGAGGTGGGTGAGGGAAAAGAGACTACGCACTGGGTACAGCATACATGCTCAGGTGATGGGTGCACCAAAATCTTACAACGCATTGGGTACAGCATACATGCTCAGGTGATGGGTGCACCAAAATCTTACAAATCACCACTAAAGAACTTATTCATGTAACCAAACACCACCTGTCCTCCAAAACCTATTAAAATAAAACACATAGGTCAGGCGCGATGGCTCACACCTGTAATCCCAGCACTTTGGGAGGCCATGGCTGGTGGACCACAAGGTCAGGAGTTTGAGACCAGCCTGACCAATATGGTGAAACCCCATCTCTACTAAAAATACAAAAATTAGCTGGTCGTGGTGGTGCACGCACCTGTAAACCTAGCTACTCAGGAGTCTGAGGCACGAGAATTACTTGAGCCCATGAGGTGGAGGTTGCAGTGGACTGAGATCACGCCACTGCACTCCAGCCTGGGCAACAGAGTGAGACTCTGTCTCAAAAAGTAAAAAAAAAATAAATAAAAATGTAATAAGTAAATAAAATGCCCTCTTTAAAGACACTCCTACATCTGGGCCAGTACACAGCCCAGCATGACTGGGCACTTCCCCTAAACAAGCAAGCAGACTCCTGAAATGCATCATTATGTTTCATTTCTTAATAAATTCTTTCTACAGCCAGTTAGCATTCTACTTGTTGCCATTATAGACTTTCAAAAAACACTATAAACTTTCTTATCTGTCTTCCTGAGTAAGCAAAGGGAAGACATTATTAGAAAATTCACACTCAATTAGGAAGAGTGGTTTGAGGTAGAAGTTGGTGGTTTTTTATTTCTTTAAAAAAAAATATTGGCCAGGCACGGTGGTTCATGCCTGTAGTACCAGCAGTATGGGAGGCCAGGGTGAGTGGATCACTTGAGCCCAGGAGTTCAAGACCAGCTTGGGCAACATGGCAAAAACCCCATCTCTACAAAAAAATAAATTAACCAGGTGTGGTGGCGTATGCCTGTAGTCCCAGCTACTCAGGAGGCTGAGGTGGGAGGATCGCTAAGCCTGGGAGGCGAAGGTTGCAGTAAGCCAATATCGCGCCACTGCACTCCAGTCTGGCTGACAGAGACAGTGTCAAAAAAAAAAAATCTTCGAGAAAATCCATTTGAAACAAGGAATGAAATTTAAAATTTGCATATATAAACACGTATACATATACATATCATGTATATACATAGGATTATGAGAAGTAGTAATGTTCTAAAAGTGAGTATGCATATTTTTAAAAATTTCTGTAAAGTTGCACTTGTAAGGAAATTCCTAGGTGTTATTTCCTAAGACGTAAAAGCAGTGTATACATCCTTGAAGCTAAACTTTTCTGAGATCTTAAATTCTCCCAGTGTTTGATATATGAGTACTCATGTCTCCAGCAAATTAACCTGAACTTAAAGAGCTTCCTGATAGCTTCTTAGTTGGGGGGTGGGAGTGCAGAGAATAAAAGGAAATTCATTGAAGAATAAAAGATAATTTCTTGAGAAACCTGCTCATCGGGACCCTGTTAACATCCAAATATCCCAAATATCATGCCACACTATTCTTCCCAGAATTAATTGTCAAGGACTGAGAAGGACAGGAGAACCTAATGCTATTTCAGGCTCTCTTGACAGACCAAGGAACAGTGAGGCATAAACTGGGGTCCCCGTGGGTCACAGGCAAGAGGTGGAACCCAAGATTCAACTCCCTTCTTGGAACCATCTACCTGGGGACTCCCTCTGGTTCTGTGGCTGGGAAGAGGGATGCCCATCAGCCTTCCCGGAATTCCGGGGGCACCCACAGGCCCTTACCTGCCTGGCAGCCAGGCACCATGATGAACGTGAGCAGTCCCCACATCAGCAGGTATGAATCCATCTTCCTGACCCTTGGGACCAGCCGGGGCAGTGAAGCGGAGGTCTTTCTCTGCAGAAGGCCCAGTTGCCGTCAGCCTCTTTTTGGCATCGCGCCGGAGGATGTGGGATGGGAAGATCGGTCCGCCTGGGCTGTCACCCTTGTGGGTCCATCCAGTCTCTATCGGAGTCAGGAGTTGCTCTCTTTAAGTATTGGGCTGGCGTGTTCAGCCAGGAAACTGCCTAGCACTCTCTTCTCTCATCTCAAATATAGGAAGTGTTTTTTTTTTTTTTTTTTTTTGATGACAATATAGTTTGCGGTAATTTTTCAAACCAGGTTTTTTTTTTCAAGTTCAATTGCTGGAGGTGTGGGCTGGGGTTGATGAGAAGGATTGAACTTCATTTATGAATCCTTTCTTCAGCTACGCCCATAAAAGGAGAGGGAGATTCCCCTGCCGTTGAAGGTAGGGTGAGCAAGCACTTCTTGGCAGTGGTCTCACCCAGCACTTCATAAGCTGAGTCCTCCCCTCAGGGCTGTAACGTCCTCAGGAGTCAGCCGGGACCACCTGGGATGAAGGAGCAAAGTCCTGACAAGATTCTGGTCAGGCAGCCTCCAATATTCAAATAATGGAGAAGGATGCGGCGAACTGAAGGATCCTGAGAATTCATAAATAATTCCCCAAGGCTTATAACCTGTACTAGCCATCATCATTTCACCACAGTGCCCTGGGCTCCTGAAAGTGCATTGTCATTTTATAAGGTGTTTTGCTTCCAGATTTCTTTCTCTTAAAGGATCATGCAAAAAGTGGGCTTTGGTTTTAAACTTTGGATTATTTTGTAAAATTCAGTCTTGCTTATTTATTGATCAGAGCTCTCTTCTGATTATTATGAAATGGTTGAGTGTGTTTTGCTCCCTGGAAATTTGTCTAAGACTTAAAGCCATTGCATAGTTAGAGCAAAACACAATTTTTTAAATACTAGAAAGCAAGCAAAGATATTAACAAAAAGAAAACCCTCCGGGCAAGCCAAGGAATTCAGGGTTCCAAAACACATCACGTTGACTGGGCCTGGTGGCTCATGCCTGTAATCCGAGCACTTTGGTAGACCAAGGTGGGTGGATCACCTGAGGTCAGGAGTTTGAGACCAGCCTGGATGACATGGTGAAACCACCGTCTCTACTAAAAAAAAAAAAAAAAAAAAAAAAAAAAAAAAATTAGCCAGGCGCAGTGGCACACGCCTGTAATTCCAGCACTTTGGGAGGCTGAGGCAGGCAGATCACCTGAGGTCGGGAGTTTGAGACCAGTCTGGCCAACATGGTAAAACCCCATTTCTACTAAAAATACAAAAATTAGCCAGGCGTAGTGGCGGGCGCCTGTAATCCCAGTTACTCAGGAGGCTGAGACAAGAGAATAGCTGGAACCGAGGAGGTGCAGGCTGCAGTGAGCTGAGATTGCGCCACTGCACTCCAGCCTGGGCGACAGAGTGAGACTTCCATCTCAAAAAACTTGTCAAAATATGACAAGATTCTCTTAAATTCCACAGCAGGTATAACTTCCTCTCTAGGAACGTTTCTCACTCTGCGGGCAAGTGCTCCAGTAGAAACTCCTAGTACTCCCACCAAAGTCACGCTCCTTTCTTCTTGGGCATGGGAGTAGAATGCACTTGCTGCCTCTCCTGGAAAATAGCTTATGCTTTAAGTAGTTAATGTGGATTGTCATTATAAAATATTTAAATTTATGTTAATGTCTTTTTTTTTTTTTTTTTGGAGCGCAATGGCACAATCTTGGCTCACTGCAACCTCTGCCTCCCAGGTTCAAGTGATTCTCCTGCGTCAGCCTCCTGAGTAGCTAGGATTACAGGCACGCGTCACCACATCCAGCTAGTTTTTGTATTTTTAGTAGAGACGGAGTTTCACCATGTTGGTCAGGCTGGTCTCGAACTCCTGACCTTAGGCGATTCACCCACCTCGGCCTCCCAAAGTGCTGGGATTACAGGTGTGAGCCACCACGCCTGGCAATTACAAGATTTTTTTAAAGCCATATCACAAAGCCCCCACAATTTTTCTGGTAAATAAGAGGCCCAACTCTTGGTTCTGAGATGGACCATGGTTAAACAAGTCATTGAACTGGCTTTTCTGGTTCACCTTACGGATGAACGCTCTGTCGTCGTTTGCTGATGCTGAGGTTTCCAGTTGATGCTGCATGGCACGATGCAGGGATGTGAGAAGAAGTTGGGGGTGCAAAAGCAGACCCATTTTGTCACGGATTGCCCAGGATCTCATACTGAAGCTGTAGCAAAGCTTTTGCCCTTAATGAGTTTACAGGTGAAATGGAAAGACACTTGAGTGTCCCTTCCTCCAGGAGGCCTTTTCCAGTCCTTTCTACTCCATCATAACACCTGCCGTGCTGCATTGCAATTCACTGTTTATATCTCTTTCTTTCTTCTAGTTGCTGTTAATCTTTTTTGGATTAAAAACTCTTTTTTGTTTTTAATTTAAGTTCCAGGATACATGTGTAGAACGTGCAGGTTGGTTACATAGGTATAAGTGCGCCATGGTGGTCTGCTGCACCTACTCACCTGTCTTCTAAGTTCCCTCCCCTCACACCCCACCCCCCACCCTGCAGCAGGCCCTGGCGTGTGATGTTCCCCTCCCTATGTCTATGTGCTGTCATTGTTCAACTCCCACTTATGAGTGAGAACATGCGGCATTTGGTTTTCTGTTCCTGTGTTAGTTTGCTGAGGATAATGGCTTCCAGCTTCATCCATGTCCCTGCCAAGGACATGATCTCATTCCTTTTCATGGCTGCATAGTATTCCATGGTGTATATGTATCACATTTTCTTTATCTAGTCTCATTGATGGGCATTTCAGTTGGTTCCATTTTGCTATTGTAAATAGTGCTGCAATAAACATACGGGTGCATGTGACTTTATAGTAGAATGATTTCTATTCCTTTGGGTATATACCCAGTAATAGGATTGCTGGGTCAAATGGTATTTCTGATTTTAGATGCTTGAGGAATCGCCATACTGTCTTCCACAATGGTAAAAACTCTTTTCTTAATTTGATAGAACCTTTGGTTTCCCTCCTTGGAAAAAATGCACATCAGCACATACTCTGGATAAATCCGTAGGAAGTTTCAGGAGCATTATGGGCAGTTTGTTTTGTTTTGCTCTGTTTTGTTTGAGATGGGGTTTCTGGAGTGCAGTGTTGCCATCTCAACTCACTGCAGCCTCTACCTCCTTGACTCAAGTGATCCTCCCACTTCAGCCTCTCAAGTAACTGGGACCACAGGCATGCACCACCAGGCCTGGCTAATTTTTTTTGTAATTTTTGTAGAGATGGGGTTTTGTCATGTTGCCCAGGCTGGTCTCAGACTCCTGGACTCAAGCGATCCTCCCACCTCAGCCCTGCAGAGTACTGGGATTACAAGTGTGAGCCACCACACCCAGCGGTTGTGGGCACTCTGAACTTCAAAGGTCCAAGGATCTCAGGTTAAGGTGTCAAACTGTGGGCCTCTAGAGGATAGCCCTATGTCCAGTTTATCTGTGAACTTACGTCACCTAACAAAGTGCATAACACATATGGGTGTCCAACCACTATGTATGAAGCCACATGTGCATACAAATATAACTAGCATATACTAAAGCAGTTTCAGACAAATTCTTTGTGAGGCAAATTCAAAGTTTTGTTTCAAACCTGCTGCAAGGAGGTAATTTCCAATAAGTCCGGTTCAAAGATTTCTTTCCTAGTAGAGGGTTTTTTTTTTTTTTTTTTTTTTTGAGGAAAGTTATCTAGATAACATTGGTAGATTAAGTTCAAGAAAGGAACAAGTTCAAGAAAGGAACATTTGGTTAAAAGTAACTAGGTTCATCCAGGGACAGCCGGTCAACAGTGCAAGCTGAGTCTCACTTCATCAGGAAATTGCTCAATTCTATTATCAGAAATGTTTGGTACTTCCTAGAAGAAACTGCTCAGAACAGCGGACAACAAATTTCTGACCTAGACTGCCTTCCCTTAGGTTTAAGACCACTTTCTTTCTAGACGTACAGTGGGGTGAATACTAATGATTATGGTAAGAAGAGCAATTGAAATGTAGGAGGGAAAAGTTGTTGAGCTGATGTGATCAGGAAAGGCCCACGTATTGTCCTTGAAGGATGGATACGGCCTTGGTAGGTGGTTCCTGAGGAAGCAGAGTGTGGTCCATAGTTAACCAGAAGTAGAGAGGGGTAGAAGCTAAGGGCAGAAATATCAGCTGGATTCAGAGTCAGGTGGACCTCGAAAAACAGAATAAGATCTATGGACTTCAGCCACTGAAGCTGTCTAACCCAGGCGGGACATAGCCAAGTGATGTGATGATGAGGCCGAGCTGGTGTGGTGTGCAGGGAAGATTGAGGCATAGAGATGCTGAAATACTCTTCAGGAAGGAAATCATAAGGACTGGAGGAAGGTGAAATAAATTGGAATGGCAAGGAGGCTTGATGCCAGAATATCAGGCAAAGGGAAAATGCAGTTGGTAATGCCTGGATGTGGGGCAAGAAGCGGGGAACAGAATTTGTGAGCTTTGGCGAGGAGAAAATTCACTGATTTGAGCTCATCAAATGGATTGGCGAAATTCAAGTGTGTGAGGCTGAGGTTAGGGGATGGCAGAGAGGCAGTAGCATTTGTGAACAGGAGTTAGTTGTTCACTTGGGTTGTTCTCTTGTTCCTACAATGTTGGACAGTCCTTGAAGACAGCATTTATTATCCAGACAACTCTAAAGCTTGACTTGCCACCCCCCTAGCCCCAACCACAAGAACGAGTTTTCAGCTTGCAACAAAAATCATTTCTGTTTATTAGAGTCTAGATTGGGGAGCAGGGGCAAAGAGTAGAGGAAAAAAGGGGAGAGGTGGTGAGGAATCAATCACCTTTCATTTTCCTTTACTTACCCTTGGGGCTTGTTAACGGTCACTTCCACAATGCCCATAGAACCGGCCGAGCACGATGGCTCACGCCTGTTATCCCAGCACTTTGGGAGGCCGAGGCAGGCAGATCACCTGAGGTCAGGAGTTTGAGACCAGCCTGGCCAACATGGTGAAACCCTGTCTCTACTAAAAATACAAAAATTTGCCGGGCTTGGTGGCACATGCCTGTAATTCCAGCTACTTGGGAGGCTAAGGCAGGAGACTTGCTTGAACCTAGGAGGTGGAGATTGCAGTGAGCCAAGATCACACCGCTGCACGCCAGCCTGGGGGACAAGGGCAAAAGTCTGTCTCAAAAAAAAAAAATGCCTGTAGAACCAAGTGGCACAGATGCCCGTATGAAATGAATAACCATGAATAATTGAATGCAGAAAAAAAAAGGAAGGAGGAAGGATGGGATAAGGAAGAAGGTAGGAGAGAAGTGAACGCAGAGGGAAATGGTGAGCCCCACTTGGTGATGGGCACCATAGCTTGCTCACTTTGACTGTTGAGGACGTGTCACTCTGGAGACTACAGGCTGCCAAGAGGACCTCTGTGCTGAATCCCGTAAGGACTGTTTTCAGGGATTAAAACACTGGTGCTCTGAGGCTCACTTGGTGTGGTGGTATAACATGCAAATGAGAGGTGCCCAGGGCAAGAAAACTTGCTCTATAGAATAAAAGAAATGCTGGCCGATTAGGGAGAAGTCATGCTGAGGAGAGTGGCAGAGAAAGGACCCAGAGTGGGAAGAGCAGGGCAGCTCTGGAGAAATAATAAAGAGCTTGGAAGAAAATTTTAAAATCATTTGAAGATAAGAGTTTGCAATATGCTTTGCAATGTTAACTCTTCTCCCCAACAGCCCACAAAAATCTTGAGTAAAATTCCCATTTTGTCTTCATGCATTTTGGAGTTGAACGAGCTTTGAGGACATTTGAAACATGGAGCATGACTTCCTCTGTGAGCCAGGACTAGTGGGAAGCCTGTTTAGTCCACGAATAATGGGGTTTCTCCCATTTTCCTCCTGTTGCTGTCCTCTTGACTGGTTCATTGTTTACCAGCATATCTGCCAGGGGAGCACAAGGAAAGGAAAAGGTGAAGCTGAGCGTGGTGGCGCATGCCTATAGTCCCAGCTACTCAGGAGGCCAAGACGTTGAGGTTCGCTTGACCCCAGGAGGTCAAGGCTGCAATGAGCTATGATTGCACCACTGCACTCCAGCCAGGGCCACAGAGCAAGACCTCGCCTCTAAAAAAAAAAAAAAAAAAAAGAAAAAGGAGGGAGTGGGGGAAAGGAAAAGCTGAAACCCAGATCAAAGAATTTCACCTCTGTCACATAATCCATCAATAAACGTTGACTGCAATTAATCAAAGAATTATGCTAGAACCTGTGAGGAGAGCCAAGAAGCTAAAACATAGCCCTGCACTGAGGACGCTCACAGTCTCCTCAAAGAGGAAAAGAAATGGGCCCTCAAAAGGGGAAGTGACCGCTCACGTCTGCAGGGATCCGTTCAGCAATCAGGCCTGCCCTGCACTATACGCTGGCACCACATGAAAGCAGCCTCACTCTCTCATCTTAGACTTTCTTTTCTCTAGAGGAGTGATGTGCTGAGCTGTGGTCTCAGAGCCAAAATCCGAACAGGAGATAACCCTTTGCTTTCTGGGAGCGTGGCAGTGGAAGGACTGAAGCGGTTGCAGAGAGCCTGCTGTTTATGTACTGGATGTTCTTGTTAGGCTTAGTAGGAGGTCATTTTCCCAGGCCTGTGGTGTCCCCCAGGATTTTCTCTCCTTTATCTTGTACACACGGACCTGAAATGTCCACATGAGGTCCCACAAATTACATTTTACTTCGCTCATGCACTCTTGGGTGCACCCTTTAGTATAATTCAATTCAGTGCATATCAACGTAGGATCCAGGAATGGGGAGCTCTGCCCAGGCTCTGGGAGAAGCAAAAACAAACAAAGAAGGGTTTTTGCTCCCCAAGAGCCAGTGATCCACCTGTGGGAATTTGGATTGGAAGCAGAAAGCCCCCAGTTAATTGCAAGCACATCTGTCAAAGTGATAATCCCATCAAAAGCAAATGAACCATTGCAGGATAGCCTGGAGCACGAGGGCCTTCCATCTTTGCTTGTTAAGTGGATGGCGGTTGGATAGATGTTGCTGAGATCGGTGCCTCCCATGGCCGAGAGGCAGGCAAGACACTTCAGATTCTGCCCCAGTTGGCACTATGCAAACAGGGTTATTTCTCTCAAACTGGTATTGAAAGAATGCTGCTGCTAATTCTACGAAATCTACAGGTGCATCCTGTTATTGCGGCACTGAGTTGAATTTCTGCAGTTTGTAATTTCCACCAGATTCTACTAGACAAGGGCACAGGGGTCCCGTGGAAAACCAAAATCCACTATGAATCAAATAACCCAACTCTACTCAAATGTCTAGTTCCCAAGCCACTGTTGACTTGTGGGTTGTGCCACCCAGAAAACACTGGGAGAGAACAGTTGGTTTGTATGAATCATGAACTGAGTCCTCCGTCCCTAACAATTGAAAACTGACTTTGTTAACATTTTGTGGCTTGTGGTGACCAGTGCTGTTGGGTCCCACAGATGTTGTCAGAGGGTCCTCTTTCCATTTGAGTGGAGGACGTGTTTCCTGGGGGGATAGCAGCAAAGCTCCCTGGCCACTTCTGTCATGATTTTAGTTCAGGGATGGATAATAGAGTTTATCTCTCAAGCCAGCACTGATGAGTTACCAATGGCGGCCCAGGACAAGGATTCCAAACCCCCTTTGGAGCTCAGTGGTCTGTGGTCTTTGCAGGGAGGTGAAGGCATGCTTGTGTCACATTTTGTCTAGACGTCTGTACAGCTTTTCAGCTGGCTTCCCTCACTCAAATGTGTCTCTCCACTCCACCATTCTTACCCATTGCTTCCAGTTTAATCTTTTTTTTTTTTGACTGAGTCTTGCTCTGTCGCCCACTGGAATGCAGTGGTGCAATCTTGGCTCACTGCAACCTCTGCCTCCCAGGTTCATGTGATTCTCCTGCTTCAGCCTCCCAAGTAGCTGAGATTACAGGCACCCACCACCATGCCCGGCTAATTTTTTTTTTCAGTAGAGATGGGGCTTCACCACGTTGGCCAGGCTGATCTCAAACTCCTGACCTCAGGTGATCTGCCCACTTCGCCTCCCAAAGTGCTGGGATCACAGGCGTGAGCCACCGTGCCCAGCCCCAATTTAATCTTCTGGAAGAATACTTTTCCCTTATCTACAACGTAACATTTTAGGAGTGTCCATAATGTCTTTGAAATTAAGCCCACATTTCTTAGCCCGGTATTCAAAATCCTTCATAACCTGCCCTGGCCTATCTCTTCAGTATTAATTCTTCGCTATCCTTCATGCTGTCTTTGCCACAAAAATGTTCCCAAGCAGACCAGAGAACAAAATAAAAATCATCAACTGCTCACTGTTCCTGCAACACCGCCTCCTCTTTTCTTGGTTTCCTCTGTTAAATCCATAAGCCCAAAGCTCACTCACTCCTTAACACCCAGCT